>NC_000023.11:21228397-21531427 GCF_000001405.40 Homo sapiens | reverse complement strand
TGGTAATAATGTTAACTTAAGTATAATGCTTTCTTCTGCCAGTTTACCTTAGCACATAAATTGTTTTTAGTGTTCAAGACAGTAGGTATAATGGTAGTAATGTTAACTTAAGTATAATGTTTTCTTCTGCCAGTTTACCTGATTGATTCTTGGTAAAAATCTGCACTGCTTAAAAATAGAAATATATTTAAGAACTACCATAAGGAGCACTGCAGCCTTAGGAATCAAATTAGCATGATATAAACTTGTATTATAAGAAATTCAAACAACATGTTATTAATTTAAAATAAACCTTAAAAGAATTATTCTCAGTATTCAAACTCTACGTATCTCATTTAAGAGTAAAAAGACATATTCCTAGAACTCATTCTAAATGGATATATCAAAATTTCATTATACATCAATGTTTCTTGAGGAGAGAAGGTAATCTGATAAAATATAGAGTTTAAGAATGGCATTTAGGGTGATGGCAAGTTGATTTTTTTCTTCTATAGGATTCTAGAGAAAAACATCTCTAATAATTTATGGGCTCCCTAAAACCTATTACTCACACACTGCAATAGGTAATTAAGCCCAGATTAAGCCCATTTTGATAGAAATAGTCCATTTGTGATTTGTTAAATTGAATCTTGTTTATTTTATGACATGTTTCACTGCTTACCTATGAACTTTTTGTCAGAAAAGCTTGTCTTCTAGAACATGACTATGAATGTAAATGCAATGTTTCCCCCCTTGTGGACCATTAGTTAAATTTCTTCCTTGTTCTTAATTGTTTCTGGTTACCCTAAACAGTGCCATGAATAAATGCTGTCAAACCAGAAAAACAATTTAATTTTATGTTAAGTGATGAGACTAAAATCTTAAATTCATAGAATAAACTAAATTATAACAAGACAGATAAAAAGAACAAATTTTTAATTAATTCCTATTATACCTTATAAAATGGTGATGAGCTTATAAAAGTAATGTGAATTCTAAAATATGAGCCCCAGTCTGGCAAAAGCCTGTATTTCTGCTTCTGTGTGTAAATGTTTAGGTTTGTCCAAATGTAGAAAACTATATTCCCAGTATTTGAAATATGTAGAAAGTAGTAAACAACATTCTCCAGACTGACAATCAGTGAGTTTTCTTATCTGTTTAACCCATCACAAGGTGTTGTTGCCATTTACATTACAATTTACTCTTTTATTTTCTAAAATAAAAGTATTGCTTATTACCACAATAGAACTATATAGATAGTTCTTAGGCAACATGAAGGAAATAAATATAAAATCCAGGCAGAATTTTCTTTCAGCTTGCTGAAAACTTTTCCTGAACAAATTGCCTGGTTAGTCCACTATCAAAAAGAAATTGAGACTGCAACTAGCTTGGAAGCAGCCTTAACGAATTTGTGGCACTGGAGTAAGGTTATGCGTATCTGTCAATGTACCAGACCTCAAGCTATGAGGCTTGTGACATGAATGTTAATGCAGCTGAAATCAGAGGGTGATTCAGCCCTATTAATACACATACTATATTTATATGGAAACATCTTGTGGCAGGAAATTGAAAGGGATGGTATTTCCTATAATAATATGAAGGAGGGACCTTATATCAACAGGGTAGATTTTTAAAACAAATCTATATAGAATGCAGTAAAATACTGTTGAATTAAGAAAAGTACCAAGCAAAACCAAACTTTTCAGTAGAATGAGTAGATACATGTATTGTGTATGTAAATGTGTGTATGTGTATGTGTGTGTGTGTGTTAATGTATATATTCACGTCATGAGTCCCTGGAGAACTCAGTGTGTTAATTCATTCTGATGTAAAGAGTTTTTACACCTTTCTTAATATTGTAAGTTAATGCACGTAAGTAATAAATCTGTGCCTTTGCTCTAGAAAGGATTTAAGGAAGCATTAAAAGAGCATTGCTTTACTGAACTAACTTTATATTTAATGGCACACAGTAGAGTTAATAGGAGAAATTAGTACTTAAATGTCATAGTTGTTCAAAGACCTATAAATTCTACATTTTTATCATAGAAAAAGAAATTTGGTTAAGTACAGAAATGTACTATATATAATGATAATGAAACTGTGTTTAGTCACAAGACATATAATAAAATGCCAACCAAATTTCACTCACTTCACATACATGAGTGTTTTATCTTTTAGAGAAAAAGGCACTTTTGCAATAACTTTTTTTCTGGATTAAATGTGTTCAAAAAATCATAACCACATGAAAAAAATTCTGCCTAATTTGAAAACTAGTCCTATCATTTTTCAAGTCTGTTTTCTTTTTGAGATGAGAGAGGTTTTATTATTTGCCATCCAAATCAAACATATATGTTCACATACCACCAAAATGCCTATCCTGTATAAACAAAGTTTTTTAATATGGGGAAAAATGTTCAGAGGAATTAAACTAAGTCCATCACATTCATCTTCAAAATAAGAAAATAGGAAAAAAGTGCCAAGGCTGTATCTGTAAAAATAATCACGACTGCAAAAAGTTTTGACTGTCAACTTAAAATCAAGCCAGAAAATGCAGACATTTATATAAGGCTGTGGTTCAAAGGGGCTTTGATGCATGGATTGTCCTGACTCCAATATCGAAAGACTTTATGACTGGGTAAGTAATAATTTGACTCAAAATGTATTTAGAATATTCTGTTAAATTATACACTGACCAACTAAGAATCAGTTGCAGTGATATAGTAAACACTATGAATTTTACAGAAAAGTATGGAGTTTTCAAGCAATACTGACAAAACAAGGGTCACTATGTTGATATTTCAATTTCACATTCTCTAATATTTTTAAATAGCATCTTCAAGCTTTTTATTGGCTTCAATATATAGCCTTTATAATATGTCCACCACACTCAGAAGACAAAACTGGATCATTTTACTCTTTTGTCCTCTTAAGTGTATTTTAAATATTTTCTGTAGAGGAGACACTTTCTTTGTAACAAGTTCCTCACTACCCAAGAGGAAAGAACATTTTAAAACTACAGAGATTTGATAAAAATAATCTTTTAATGTTTATCTGTGTATGTAGCCCTCTGAAGAATAAGGCCTTTTAAATAATTATTTGCTCTGAAATAAAAATCTTTCCAAATAAAATGTAAACAAATCATAAAAAGTCACTTCCTGTTTGGAACACACATACTTTCATTGTTCCTCATGCAAGCATATGTGGAAAATCTGACACTGTCTTAACAGAATTAAAATGCAACTAGCATTTTAGTAGGATATTGGATGGATTTGTATATTTGCTTGTAAATTGAACACAAGACTGTAAATTATATATTAGATTTATGAAATGCCAGCTTAGTAAACTATATCTTATAAGTTATGTTCCAATGGCTATATTTAATTCTCAAAGAACTAAAATATATATAAAACTAACTATAGTTATATTACTAGATGACAACACAGTATTTGCAGATAAACCATATTGCCATGCAGCATTTAGATCACATAATGTCAGTAAACCATCATATCTAATAGAATACAGATTTCTGAAACACTAAGTGTACTAAAGAATAATGGAAATTAAACACAAGGAATTTAGTTCTTTTATATATGAAAGAAATTTAATACTATTTATGGCTTGAAAACAAGAGACCTTAAATTATTGTTTTTGAATGCAGAACTAATTTAAAAACTGAATCAAGTTTTTTTGTGATTGGTATTAATGATCCCCATTTAGTGCTAGTCCTTTTCCATAATTTTTGTATTTCACAAGGCTGGATATCAGAATGCTTTTAGGAAGAATGCATTATGACATAAAGCTGTATTCTTCCACATCTGCAAGGATTTTCAAATAAGAATCGATAAATGAAATAGAGATACAGCCTCAAGAAATCTAGAAAATAGACTTTAAGGGTAATTCATTCCCTTGTAAACTCTACTTCCTGAAAGAAACATTAATGAATTAATGAAATAAAAATTTCAGACACAGGATTATTAGGGGAAAAAGACATTCTCCCTCATCATCATTACCAAATAAAATCTTCCTCATTACTTACATTTAAGAAAGCATAAAAGTTATCTATAGCTTTCTCTTTTTTTAAAAAAAAAATGTATGAAATGCTTCAAAGTAACCTGAAATTTTCTGGGGCTTTTTAGCCAAACAGCCTCACTTATTGTTTACTTATTAAAATAATCCTAATTATTATTTAATATTACTTTCTTCTTCTTTCCTATTATGAGATAGTATAAATTATTTAATGCACAGCAAGTATTTATATACAAATTAGTTATTATTATTATTAATAAACATGCATGCTCTATAATGGGAATGATTTTGCAGAATGTGTTCAGAATTCCTAACTGTGAGAAAATATTCAAGGTGTTCCTTCAGAATTGACTTTGCAGTTTATATGCTGTTAGGTTTACCTTTAGCTAGAAGCTGCCTAGGACAACGTGATAGTTTTATACCTGGGAATATATGGTTCTGCAGGAGGAGGGGGAATGTAGAGATCCTGGAGGGCAGAACTGTCTCTTTTGGTGGGTGTACTGATGGTGCTGGAAGGCGTGGCAACGCTGCTTGTGGGACTTCTAGGTATAAGAGGCTGGTTAAAATGAAAAAGAAAATACATACGCACACAAACAACACACAAAACAACAACAACAACAACAACAACAACAACAATGACACATAGTTATCATTTTAAAATTATCTATTTCTGCAGTTTTTGAACTTGGCTGAAATCAAGAAACATGTTATTTAGTACATGGATATTCCTTTCAATCTCCAAAAACAAACAGTATGGTAAAGGTTTCCACTTCACTCCCAACTCACCTTAATCTATGGCATAAACACTGAAATACTATTTATAAAGCAAAAATACCATGCAGTGTTTCAAAATGGGAAGATTTATCTCACAGTTAGAAACTTATTTAAATTAAATTAACTTTGTCAGAATCCCACCTTTAAAAGAACAATAATGATGAGTAACTCAAAAGAATTAGCTCACTCACATCCTGATTGATGTATGAGAAAGCTATTTCAGATCTTCTCCCAAAAAAGATAAACCATATTTCTAGGTTAGTAAAATGTTACAGATGCTCAGAAAAGGTTACAAAAGTGGGAGTATGAAAGGCCAATACGAGAGTATTTGCTAGAAAGACATATTTTTTCTGTCAAAATAAGCATAGCTGTCTTCTCAAAGCCATTTTATGGTACATCATCAAAAGTATGGTAATTATGTAACACAATCATTTCACCATTCATAGGCACACACATTTATCTATCATTTAAAATAATCTTTAGTTGCATATATAGATCTCATTTTCAGGCCTGTATTTAAGTATTAAATAGGAGGTTGTTTTCTTAAAGTTAAGATAATATATATACTGAATTAAACAGTACATGAGGATGCATTAACTTAAGAGCACTCCCAATTCCAAGCTTCACAGCATTTGAAAATAATCTAGTGGTTTGTGAAATTATCCTGAAGTGAAACTAAAATTCACAAGTTTTATGTTTATCTTACAGATCTTAATGATTAGCTATGTATACAATTAACACATTAAAAATAAAAATTTTAATGCAATCACAAACACAAAAATAATGATCACAAATGAACTGTATCTTCACATGACAAGATGTTGCCATTTTAGCCAGTATGAAAACTCTCTTAGCATATTTATATAGACTCACAGTTCTATTGTTTTAATATGCATTGCTAGACACTCAAAAAGTGGCATATTACAACTATTTTGTATTGTGACAATACTTTTGTACAGATAAACAAAATTCGCTTAAAAAGCCAAGCATAAATACAATGGAAAGTACAATGTAAGTCACTGGGGTAGGCTACATAATTTAGGACTCAGTTCACGGTTTTGACCTTCCCTGTTATACAGCTCACCTTAATAGCTTGAAATCATACATCCTACCAAAATGACAGTTAAATTCTAATGTAGTGAAGTAGAAATTAAAGAAAGAGAGAGAGAAAGGGAAAAGGAATGATAATGTAATTTGGGAGTTTACAATATTCCACCTTATACGATATTTTTAAAAAGGTCAGAAGTTTTACATGTTAATTGAAGAATTGTAAGCTATTATAAAATTACACAGTAAAGATTATGTTTTACTATGCTAATTTTGGAATAGGGTCCAGTTCAACTATTCCTGTCTTTTAGAAACAAAACTTGAGGCAATGGGAAATCCTGAGATTATACAGGTAATCATAGGAGTCACCTGTACTGATGAATACCATAAATCCCAAGGAAATAAATAACTATTTTATTTCTAAGGATGCATTTCATGCCTCTACAACAAATCCTTGAATGGCAGATTCAACAATACATACACACAGTCACTGTGATGTGACTCTGTTTATAACTGTTTTCCTCTCTGTCAGGACATCTTGGTTTTAAATACAGACGATGCTAAACAATAAATCTGACCAAAAGTTCACCATAATAGAAATGTAGCAAAGAAAACATTCACTTAACAGAATATTATTCTCCAATTCTTTGAAACAGATACACTGTGAGAGAAAAACTAATATTCAGTATGCTTTTTAAATGCTCTAATAGCTTTCTGACTTTAAAATATCCTAACACTGTAAATGAACTTAAAATCAAGTTCTAAAAACATAAGCATTTAAACATAATCAAACTTAAATTTTTATTGTCTTTCCTCTCGCCTGGAGTCACTATTTCTATTTTGAGGACTTCTCTTCTTTACTTTTACCATCTACAGAACTAAAGATAATTTTTCCTGGTTAGTACCTACCCTTCTTCTCCCCAAACAAAAAGGAGGGAAGGAAATAGTAGTAGTCAATGGTTACAAGCATATTTTAAAATACATACACCTGAAGTGTGAGGTAATGACCAAGGGAATATTTTATTCTGCCTGGACTATTACCAGAATTGTCTACCTAGGGTACTTGTGTCTTTTCCCTTCCAAGAAATGTAATTATTAGCCCTCAATTTCCTTCAAACTGCTATTTCTCTAGGTTTCTATTTTTAGCAAACAGTTCCTATCAATGTCATCAGTTAATGTTATTAGTTAAATTAGCACATACATAGAGGGGAAAGACTCTTAAATATGCTTAAATACATAACAAGTTTGATTATGCCAAGCTGGTTCAATTAATTGAACTGGTTGGAAAAAATACTACTTCAGAGAAAAAAGAAATTAGTCAATCCTATTGCTTAACTCATCTGGCTTGTTATTTTATTGACTGGTAAGTCACAGAAAATATTTCAACTGGTTTATCATGGAAATACCATCTGGCTCATCAGTATGCCTTGTACCAAGTAAAGCTCATTGTAAATATTTGATATATTCAGCATATTTCTCTCTACTAACTGTGCTCTTTTTAACAAGCTAATCCAAGCTAAATAATAAACGTTCTTTTTGAGACTCATATTAAAAAAACTAGACATTAAGCAATGGAAAAATAAAGTTTAGTAAAGTACAACCTTCATGGGAAAATAAAAATAACCACTTAACCCAAAGGGGTCTTTGTGATAATTTAAAATTATAATCTCTAAAAATTTTCTAACTTTGGACAAAAATTGAAAGAGTAAAAAATCAAATGACTAAATGAATGAAAAAGGCATTAAAGAACATTAGAAAGACAAGAAAAATTTGACTAAATCAAGTACAGAATAAATGATGCAATTAGCTAAAATTATCAGTGAGAAATTCCTAGTTGTAACAAGTGGCATTAAAAATACACCTATCACCAATAGCCATTTAAGTTTGTGAAAATGCACAGAAAGTAACAAATTTAGCTTCCCTCAACTTGAAACACAGAATTCTTTCAGCATTGAGGTTTTAATAGGCATATTCCTTAGATTGAAAAAAAATCGAATGAGGAGGATATAATACAAAAAGATAGCTTCTCCTATCCTGGCAACATTTACTTATAATCATTTGTTTATAATACAGTGTAAGAAAAGTAGTTACTGTTGCACTACAAAGAAATTTCAATTTAAGAAAAAAGGTAGAATTAAAGGGTAACATTCTTTTATCATTTTGACCTTCTCCGGTATTGACAAAACATGAATGGGAAGAAAATTAGGAACTATCAACACTTATGGATAAAATGGATACAATACAAAGGGACTGCTTTAGGATTACATCTTGTTATTTAAAGTAAACATGAAGCTTCAGCATAACTTGATCTTCTGTGGTATGTAATCAAGTATGACATGGATCCACTTTTGATCCCATCCAAAGGGGTTTGTTTTCTGGAAGGACCTTGTCATACCATTTAGTTTTCATGTCAATGGTCCTTTTGAGATGAAGCTCTCCTTCCACATATTCAATGAGGCTCCAACAGGGAAGACACATTTACATGTATGTTGTGACTCTTGTAAAACAAGTCTATGATAGATTTCTGGGGGCACTGGCATGCATCTCTTAAAATGTCCAAATCCTAAATAAAATCATCATATGTATCTCTTCAAACATACATTTATAACCTTAGGTCAATTGGTGATAACGTACTACTGTCAATTTGCTAGTGTTAGAAATCTTCTAGGTAAAACTTGTATTTTTCATACTGTCAGTTTGAATGTATAAATACTTTAAAATTGTGTCACAAAATAGGGTATGACACAAACTTTCCACTGAATTATGAGTGATAACTTTAGCAATAATATCTTACTCATCCAGCTTAAACATCATTGGAAGATTGTGATTGTAAAATAAAATTTTGTAAGCTAAAGCTTTAAATCCTCTGATGGTTGAGGTCTCACTTTAAAGCCTCTGATTGCTGAGGTCTTTTCTTTGTGCGCCCCAATTTTAACATCTCTAAGGTAACTGAGCACATATAGAAGGTATTGGTGTATCTGTGAAATCTCTATAGTCTTAAAGACCATGAGAAAAGAACTTCTATACTTAAGAAACTACATTTGATGTTGAGGTTTTCCCCAAAACATTTTACATTTTAACATCTCTGGGCAAGCATATCTTAATTTAGTTGTCCCTCTTTCTAGTACGTGACCCAGCTTTGATACAGCTTGAATGAAACCAATGACATAAAGACAACTCCAGCGTTAAAGATTAAAACAGTGCATTACACATTTATGTAGTTAGCTCTAAAATTCACTAATGCCAAGATCACACAGAACTTGCTTTGCCTTCCAGGGGGGAAATACCCACTGAAATACAAATAATTACATCAAGTATAAAACCTGGCCATTTATTTTATTCACTCTTGGGGATAAACACAGACTCAAATGGATCACAATACCCCATCATTCTAGCACAGAACATTCACATAAGTCCTTACTCAGTTCAAACACATTTTTAATTCCCAACACTAGTACAAGAACATTGTTTTATATTGACTCTCTTAATAATCTAAGCAAATGCTTCAGAGAAAATGTATCCTGAATTTTAAGCAGCAAGAATTCACATATAATTTTTAGTTTCTTGACCATGTAAAGAAGGTTAGATCTAATTTGGAAAATTATTGGGAATACTTTTTTCTGGCCAAGCTTTTCATAAGTAGTCAATTATTTGAAAAGAACTGAAGCAAGGGAAATACATATATTCAAAATTCTCCCACTCTCAGTTCTTTCACAGCTTTTTCTAGAATGCAAATTTATAAATACAAAAGGTTTGAGTATCCTTTTATAAGCATATAATTTTTCCTTTCCTGTCAGAATACAGAGAAAACAAGTGTTTTTTTCTGACCACAGATTTGATCAGAAAACCATATCTACCTAGGCTTAAAAATACAGATATATATGCCTAAAACATGTATTACTTATAAAGCATATAACTAATAAAGACTTAAGAGTCACACTATAAAATGGCTTTTTCCATCAAATCATGAAATACTGCACATTGTATTGAGGCTAACACTAGTGTCTTTAATCCTGCATTGTCCAGTCTTATGGGCATAATTAAACTGCAACATTAAAACTGGACTTCCATTTTCTCAAATTACAGTAAACATCATTTTGGGGATGTTAACTAAAGAAAGAATGGACAATTTTTACATTATAGGTGATTATCTGTAGCCACTATTAAAATCTTGAAAGCATGTGGCTCAAAAATACAAATGTGACTTAGATCCTTTGACTGATTTGCTTAAAGACTGGTGAGCTAAAATTTGACAATTACTTGCATGTATTTACTCATTTGAGTATGTAAAACATACAATTGCTTCTGGCTCCCAGTCAGCCCAATTACATTTTTAGTTAAAAATTGATTTTCTTCTCTAGTGCCATGCCTAATACTAGTTCTTGCTCTCCTTAAAACAAAACTCTCAGAAACAGATAAATTTTTTTGTCACTAATGTTTTTTTTTCAGTCACAACGACCTGCAACTTGAATATTAAATTTTATTGTTACTTATGTATTTTGATTTTTCCAGAATGACTTTAACCATTCATATCTCTATGTATATGAAATCAAATGCAATCAACATTCTCCAGTTGTTACACCAGTTGATAAACAAAATCAACTACTATGACTCTTTTCTTTCTATTTTCTGCTCAAATGTATTTAAATATGCTCTAAAAATGGCATCAAGGTAATGTTAAACAATAAAATTTAAATGGAAAAACACAAAATCACAAAATCATACAAGTAACTATGGCAGCAAAATGAGAGATTTATAAATGAGAATACAATTTAGGAACATAATTATAATGTTACAGCTTGATGTTATTTTATATAAAAATGTCTTGAACAATATATGTCATTATGTTGAGAATTCCAGCACTGATTTTAGTGATCATTTCTGAGATGCATTCTCACCAAAAAAAAAAAAAGCTGGGTTTTTAAATGTTTTAAAAGTCATTGATTCCCAGTGATGATTCCAAGGAACATTCTTGGCAGTGTCCAGATAATTCTTCCATACATCTCTCATAAGAAGAAAAGGACACCACCCATCTATGCTCTTGGCCTACACATATTAATTTAAAACCACAAACATCTAAAAATATACCTTGAGGTTTATCCACAATTCTTTGTTTTTTTTTCATTGAATTAGAAGAAATTGATGATAAGCAATCACCATGCCTACCAAAATGCAGGAAATTAGTAGAGTGCCACTGAAAAGATGTTTTGAAAAGCAGCTCTCAGAAAGCAAGGAATCCCTGGTTTTTCTTAGAATAAGAGATTCTATCTCAGATGAGACATCTCTGTTTTTACAAATGGGTGAAAATGACAACAGAATTAAAGCTTCCAGATATTATTAAATTTGCTTGTAGTATTTGACTAAGGGATGGTTAAGTCCTTACGTTCTATCACAAAATATTTGAGAAATCAGGAATTCATCAAAAGAGCTGCCAATTTAATGAAATGTACTAATGAAATTGCTCTGTGAGCATGAAGTTGAATTGTATGCTTCTGTTTATTTGGCTATAATTTCATCAATGAATTTCAAAAGAAAATCCAAATCAAAATTCATCATTGTAGTTAATCAATATTGGAAGTCACTATGCTTTTAGTATTTTTAGAAATAAAACTACTACTTTAATTAAAACGTGGTATTCTTTGACAATCTTCTATCTTAGGATAGATAAGGTTGTTTTATTTGTATAGATAAAAACGATTCCTTATAAGTTTAAAAAATCATTATTCCTTATGTTAGGATAAACTTGTTTATTAAAAAGATACATGTATCAGTGCCTACCTCCATACTACTACAAACTTTCCTATATTTTAATCTATAAATGCTATCAGGTAAATTAAGCCTGGGATAGTATTTTCAAAAAGGTTAAATAGACATATTGAGTTAAATAAACGCCACAGATTATTTCCTTTTGTATCCTCTATTCTAAATAATTCTTGGTAGACTACTGGTACACCCTATGAAAAAAGAAATAACCTCATTTCCATTTTTTCAAGTTTGAATGCTGAAGATTTGTATTTGGATGAGCTGATGGGCATTTTGGCTCCAGTGTATTTCTGCACCTACCAGAAGGAAGAATACAATAAAAATGGCACTCCTGTCTATGTAGAGGATTGTTACTACATTTAGCAGTTACGTTTCACATCTGAGGTAGCTCCTTAGGTACTATGAAGAAAAGGTGACCTCAGATAAAGTCATGATGTTATGAAAAACTGCCTTCAAGATCTTTTCATCTCACTATTTCTTTAACTTTTCCTGCTCTGGAGGCAGTGTACCTTCACCCTCCAGATCCTGGTACCTTGAGATTTTGTCCATCTTCTGTACCAAAATCTATAATCTATAAAAATTTTGACTAGTTTTCATTATGCTTTCAGGTGTCTTTGCATTTTAGCATAAGCCAGAACTTTAAGATCAATGAAGAATTCTGTAATGGTTCAATTTCAGGTCTTCTTCATCAGGGAGATTCGGTAGTGGTGCGGTATGTTAGAGGACTTACCCATTGTCCTCACTCCTAAGACCTTGTTTTAGCCACTAGAAAATATTTAATTAACACCAATACTCTTTCCTCTGCTCTGTAAAAAGGCAACAACTGAAGTAATTTTCAAAAATGTTAGAAGCAGTCTCCCCTCCCCCAACCAATAGTATTATTTATCTACGGATGGTTGACTTTGGCCAATAGCTTTTAGTTGAACCAAATTCAGCTGAAATGACAAATTTAGAAAAATGTCAATATATACAGCACTTATATAATGCTGATTTCCTCTTTTTCAGATTTCAGCATTTTGAAAAAGTAAATTTACAAATACATGCAGCATAGCTGAATAAGCGATGACAAATAAAAATAATTAGTGATCTGATGAGGCACATTTCTCAGAATTTGGAATGGATCTAGAAATAGTGCCTGAAGAGTAAGGCACTTACAGGGTAAGGAATGACATGACGTAATTTTTAAAATTAAAGTCCTTTTTCTCTAGGTTTGAATACCTACACCCAATGTATATGTAACAAAAAAGTTGGTCTTTCAATTATTTTAGCATTTTATATGAAAATGATTCTTAACTGGGTACTGCCATTACCTTAACTCTCCACTTCAGTTTGTGCATGTGGAAAAGAATATAACAGGGGAATAGATTATAAAAGCATGTGCTAGAGATATTCCCTCAAACCGAGTGCATGGATCAACAAGAAACTAGGGTATTTTTGGTGCTTAATGTGAAATATGAGGGACTAAAGAAGAGGTATTAAATTTCACTCACATATACAGAGAAGAAAACCTACTGGCTGAAAATACAGGCCTCTTTTTCAGGGTTCCCACACCCTTACACTTTGAAGAAGGATCTTTAGGGAAGACATGGCAATAGGAAACTCTAGGGGGAGCAAAGCAAATTATAATGCAGTGAAAAAAAATAATGTAATGGGAAAGTCTGATCTACTCATCTATGACTTAGATAATGAGGCAAACATTGACCTCTGAACTGTAATGATCATCAAGTATCTTTTAAAATAAACATATATGCAAGTCAAATGGATTTGGACATATTAATACAGTTTTACATATATTAACTTGAAAAATAGATTCACATTAAAATTTTAAAGGCCATAATGTTGACACATATATGTGTTTTTATATTAAGTATAATGCCAACGGCCAATAAGTAGTAAAGTTTTAAACAATGAAAAATCATTATAATCTATAAAGCCATTCATGTATAATGGAGAATTTTGATTCTTAGGAAAAAAAATCTATGAATAATAAAAGGTACTAACATAGAGCTTAATAACAATTTACATAGCAGTGACAACAATGCATTTCATATACTGCTTTCCTTTTTAATATGAATAATGGGCCATGTTCCAGTTCAATGGGCCTATTTTTTTTTAATTAACTTCTAAGAAAAGGTAATAGTCTCTTATTTTTAAAATGTACGTTTCGTGAAGGACAAAAATTACTTAAGTTTAAAGATTATATCCTGACTGAAATAGAAAAAAAATCATTACATCCTTGCCTTTCATCAATCAGAATCATATTTTTATAACTTTCAAGATAACTCAATAAATATATTATCAATGTTAAGAGTAACGTTTCATGCTGAAGAGTGATGTTTCATGCTGAAGAAAAATGCAAAAATTCTAGTGCAACAATTTCCCTATTTTTGCCACCTTACAGGGTGGAAAGAGAAAAATGATCAATCAGGAGGAATGTACAAGGTACATTTTTTTTTAAGAGATGGAGTCTCTGTTGCCCAAGCTGGAGTGCAGTAGCATGATCAGAGCTCACTACAGCCTCATACTCCTGGGCTTACATGATCCTCCTGCCTCAGCCTCCCACATAGCTGGGACTACAGGCGCATACCACCATGCCCGGCTAAGTTTTTAATTTTTTGTACAGATGGGGTTTTGCTATGTTGCCCAGGGTGGTCTTGAACTCCTGGCCTGAAGTGATCCACCCACCTCAGCCTCCTAAAGTGCTGGGATTACAGGTGTGAGCCACTGCGCCTAGTTTGGACTAGGTGCATTTTAATTACTAATATAACATTTCATTTTCCTACTGTTTATAAATTACTATTACTATTTTATGAACTGATTTAAAAGAATTCTATAAACTATCATTTAGCTTCTTCTAAAAGAGTATGTGGGTATAACATAAAATAGAAGATCATATCATAAAAACGAACCATCTTATTTTCATTCTATCCATATTTTGGCATGAAATAAATTGTGACATTTTGGAATTATGCTTTAAATGTTTACAAATTAAGGCAGAGTTGTTTTTCATTTGGGTTTTAGATACTCAAGGATTTCATCACAATTAAGCCTATTAGAATAGCTGTGAAGAGATCATTTCACAAACAACTTTTCAAAAGCATACAAGATTAATCCATATGCTGCTGAGATGAGGCACAATAAAGAAGCATTACTGAGATAATCTATGGCTAAAATGATGGTGTATGACTTATGATTAAGCTTCATTACCTGCAGAGCAAGGGGCTTCCATCTCATATTTTTCAGTAAAGCTGGTGCTGAGGTAAGCATGCTCTGAGGTCGCTTTTTCAAAGTTAAGATAACACCACTCGGGTCCTCTCGTAGTGCATTCACCAAATTTTTCAACTGCCACCCCACCTGGTAACCAGCAAAATCATTACAATAAAATTGAGGTACAGTATTCAAAGATTTAATGTTCTCCCCCTTTAATAAGATTAGTAAAAAAAAAAGTCACATAATTGGTGTACCATCCTATCAATTTTCAGGAGATACATACTCAATAAATTTTATCTTTGAATTGATTAACCATATTATTGCATTAGTCCATATCATTACCAGACAACATAATGGACATTTACCATGTCAAATCAAAGACTAAAATGGTATCCTACCAATGGAGTAATTCAGAATGTAATGAAATTATGTCACCATTAATGCTGCTCAGCTGCTAGGTCTAGATCCAAGCTCTGTTCACAAGTACAGTTAAAAAATCTATATGCCTGAAAACAAGGATTTGGCAATGTCCTGAGCTTACAAACTACACCACATGCTTTCTCATCACCATCTTTTAGAGATAAGTGGTACCAGTGTCTCTAAATTAGACTGATATTTTACTACCAATAGCTGGTACTGACACACCAAGGCAACATTCTTACGCATGGACAATAGCAGCAATACAATAAACCTTTTACCATGCTATAAAGATAGAACAAAAATAACAAGATAATACTACTCCAATGAAGCAGCTATTGGAATGTGTTCCAAACAACCCTATAAACTTAAAATATAACGTGCTAAATTTAATGAAGCCATTCTATTTGAATATCACCTAAAAACATATTGTGTAATTAAATCAAAGTACTTGATAAATGTCTTGAAATCGGGCTCAACTGCATCCCCTGTTAAAATTACTTCACTCTTCATCCTTTAAAAATTCTGAACATAGAATAATTTTTGTTACTTTGCTTTCAAAACGGACTAGTGATGCAGTATCAGGTAACTGAAATCCTAGAAACTATGCTTTAAAGAAACACATTAAAATGTCTATTATTCCAAGTTTTTTTTAAAAAAAATTCACATTTAGAAGAGAGAAGAACCTTTTATCCCAAACCCTAATGGATTATACTTTTCCAGGATGTGTTACATAAATACACTAGGTCAAAATTTATCCTGGATTGTAAGCAGGATTTAGCAAATGGTCTCAACAGTGATAACAGTTTCTTTCTAGGCATCCAAGTTAAAGATAATTGGTGCCCTTTGTCTAATAATAACCATGTTTTTGCCTGGAAGATATTTGTCAAGCTGGAGAGAATGAGCACTTCCACCAAAAGCAGCACAGACCCCTAGGCTATGAAGAAGAGGTAATCTGGAATTCAGCTATTATAGAATGGGGACTTTGGTATATTTAATAAGCATTCATCTAAATTGCAACCTCAACTATAGCTGAATTGAGTGTTGGTGAAGTTAGAACAAACAAGAAGTGAGATGTTATAATACTTAAAATCTCAGGGAGTCTCAGATATGAATCAAAATGATCATTATACTTGGATAACCTGAATGAGACTGCCAGTTTTTTTTTTTAAATCACATTAATGTGGATCAACTACAGTAATGGAACTGGTCAAATGCCTCCCCTTATATGTAAGTGGGGACTATTATGTGCCCAAAGGTATATTACATTGATTCCGATTCCTCTGATAGCTGTGTAGTATCCCTACAGCCAAGAGTTAAAGCAAAGGGAGTTCAAATCCAAGGGTTCATTTTGCTTGCCAAAAAAATATGAATGCACACTTTGAATTACAAGTTTGGAGGGAGAAAACATACTACTTATACAAAGAGTTTAGGAACAACTTATTAATGATAACCACATTTTGTAACTTAATTATTCACTCAAATAATTGCTAACTAAAGTGGTCAATGTGATGGCCACAATCTTTTTTCCAGCATAACTATTCTCAATGATTTATACATTGATTTCTACTCACCAATTTCTTTTCATTTTACTTATTATAAAATTTGAAGATTTTTAAGGCTAGATGGTATTTTCCTGTGAAATTTTCAGTGCAATTTGATTCATCCTATTCTTTCACACTTTCTACATGCTCTTTTTAAGTAACAATTCCAAAAAACAGAATTGCTTTTCTATCAGAAAGTAGAATTGGTTTCTGACAAGAAAGTTCATTTGGGTGGATTTTAATTTTACAGCTGATGTTATTTAATGGCAGAAAATTTGGGTATCTAATTTTACTATTTTTAAATCAGCCTTTTATTATTCACATGACATTAACAATGTTTTAAACAAGAGCAAAGAAATATACATCAAAACTGTATAGTATATATCTTTGGCTCCCAAATTCTACTTCCACTACCATAAGGAAATGATTGGATAAAAGCACAAAAATAAATGTGCAACATATGTGTCACAGTATTGTTTAAATCAACCAAAACCTGTACATTATGTAAATGTATCCATTAGTAAGGGATATAAAAATTGTGTGAAAAAAGTAAGTTCCAAAATAGCAAACATAATTTTATTCCACTTTTGTTAAAGAATGTACATAAATATAGAAAACACCATTAATGGTGGTTAGATTAAAGGGAGTAAGGACTTGCAATACATACTTTCTTCTTTATACTTTTATTTCCTAAACTTTTGGCAATAAGCATGAGTTACTCTTCTAAACAAACAAATAAACCAACAAAATACATGAACCTAGTGTATGAATAGCAATATTCCAATTAGAAAATAATAAATTTTATGAATTACCTAATCAGGACTGTTTGTTATGGATGGAAAATTTCCACCAAAACTGCAGAACCAGAAAGGCAACACTACTATTTAAAACACTAAAAGGTGGTGATGGAGAAACAAAATCTGCTCTATGCATTATACCTTGATGATTGACAAGAGAGAATATAAATTTATTATTCAGGTGTACTCAATAAGTCAAGATTTTATAAGTCTCACTATGTTGCCAGGGCTGGGCTCTAACTCCTGGGTTCAAGCAATTTCCCCATCTTGGCCTCCCAAAGTTCTGGGATTACAGGCATGAACCACCACGTCCAGAGATGAAAAATATTCTAATAGAAAAAGATATCCAAAAAAGAAATTGGCTGACTTGTGAAATAGATCAATACCAAGAGATGTTTCAATATTCTTGCATAGGTCAAATAATTAGGTAACTTTCAGTCACAATACATTCCAACTCTAAAACATAGAGTGGGTAGAAACATGAAAATAGATGACAAAGATTAGTTTGAGTAAAATAACATGGTTCCGTTACATCTCTGCCTACCTGTCCTCCATCTTTTCTTCCTCTTCCCTACCAATAAGTGTACCTGTTTCCTCTAGGCTAAGTGTTACACATCTTTCTAATATTTCATGCTGTCTTCTTACAATAATCTCTTTTAAGAGCTTTCACCAACAGCTTCCTGCATGATTCCCAAATCTTTCTACCATTCCTGCTTCCTATCAATAACTCTAGTCATATTTCCAACTGTTTAGCTTGTCCACGTTAATAGCTACCGAATAATCGCAAGCATCAACAATTCACTGTGCTAGATTCTTCATATCTATGTTACATTCTTTTTATTTATATTTTCATTCTTACAAAAGCCTAATGAGGTAAACTATTAAACCCAATTTACGTGTGTAGAAACTGAAGCAAAAAGAGATTGTTTTCTCGGCCAAGATTACAAAAATAGTAAGTGGTGAAGCCAGAACTTACATTAATGTCTTTTCAATTCTAAAGCACAGTATCTTCCCTTGAATATCCACTGGTAGCTTACATGAATACAAGACTTTAAAAATCAAACTCATTATCTCTTTACTTTCATTCACCAGAAAACAAAACAAAACAAAACAAAAAAACCTCCCTATCATCCTCTAAAGTCGGGAGTTTGGAGTCACCTATGACTTTTCTCCTCTTTTTAATCTATTTTGTGTCCTAACAAATAGATCCTAGCAACTAATGCCTCTTCTCACTGCCTTAGTTCTGGCTTGGATACCTACTGCTAGACTTAAACCAGAATCCTAACCTGTCTTTCTGCTTCTAGTCTTTTGCAGCTCCAAAATACTGCTACAGTGTAGAAGTTTTCTATGCTTCAAAACCTTTAATAGCTCTCCAAAGGCCCAACTAAGGAACAAATAACCAATCCTCAAACAGGTCCTTTGTCGGTATAGTTGATCACAGCTTTTTCTCAGATTACTTTTCTTCAATGTGGTTCTCAAACTTTAGCATGTGTTAGAATCACCTTGAAGCCTTGTTAAAAGAATGCTGAGTTTTAACCCCCAGAGTTTTTGATCCAGTAGTTCTGGAGTGGGGCCTGAGAATTCCTCCCCCGACCCTTTATTTCCTAATACAAGTTTCCAAGTGAGGCTGATATTACTGGCCTAAAGAGCCACAATTTGAGAACCTCTGTAATAGATTATGAGCTCCTTGAAGGCAGTGACTTGCTCATGTCTAGATTAGTTTAGGTGTTTCATATGTTTTTAAGACAACTCTTAAGTATTTATTGTGTGTCTTCCATGTAGTATGAATACAACAGTGAATGCAGCACAGTCTGTACCTCATTAAGGAGCAATAAACAGTTACAATGCAGTAAGATAAGTACCTCAATAGGGTGAATACAGAGTGCAACAGGAGCCCCCAACAGGGGCACCTAACCCATCCTTGAGGGTCTAATGAAGGTTTCCAATGAGTTTAAGCCAAATTCCTTGGGAGTTGGACAGGTGAAGAAGATGTGGAGGTTGAGGGGGTAAACAAAGCTCTGAGGCAAAGTATCACAGGTTTGAGCAACTTTCAGTAGTTCAGTACACGTAGATGACAGAACAAGGGAAGGAGTAATGAGGCAGGAGAAACACACAGAGTTCAGATGATTATAAGAGGCTTTTAGAAAGTTGATAATTAAAAGAGTTGGTTGAGTAATGAATATACGTTTCCTTCAAACACTGTGCTTTTCTCTTTAGCTGTATCTTTGCAAAACCACTCTTCCCTCTGCTTGTAATTTTTCTCTCACTTATAAAATCTTACCTATCCATAAAGGTTCATCTTACATGCAGTACCCATCATAAAGCCTCTTCTTAAAGGTGACACCATATTTTCCTCATGTGAATCTCACGGCATACTGCATAACTTGACTAGTGAGCTGATATGGTGACATGATGATGTAAATGTTTCAGAGACAATAAAGGGCCTTGAAACTCGAAAGGAGGGTTTAGTTTTGTACATAAAACCAAGATATAGTATTAAAATATTTTTTATATGTAATATACTTAAAATTTGTCGCATAAAAGATTAAATGACCTCTCATCCAAAAAAGTAAAATACTTGATACTAAAGCTGTAATAGACATTCTGTACCTCAAAATTTCAAATAAACTTTCTCCTTATAAATGAACCTTTGAAAAAACATTTCTATCTTGAATACTCCAGACCTAAAGTCATAATGATGTGATTAAAACAAGGAAAAGAACAGTGGGTATAGATCCTATTTGTCCTGGAAAAATTTTACTTTATCATATGCATCATATAAACACTGTTATGAAGGTGTTTTTTCCAGAAAAATATTTTGTAGTGCTTTATCAATATTTTAATAGAGTAATTCATTCACATTAATTTCATGGGCTAAAATGAACCTTTATAAAACCACCATATGCATTTTTACACAAATGTCTTATTATTAGCTATAATGTTTTTCACATACACTGAACTACTATTATCTTCTTCATTATCCAAGGTAGCAGAAGTCAGTGCCTACAAGCAACAGCAAGTCATATAGCTTACTAATTTATATATAATCCCCAACATGTACATTAAAATGTATTTTACACACAACATAAACAGGATTAAAATTTCCCAAGAAGGTCATTAAGGAATCCCAAGTGCTAAAAGCCAGAGGTTCTGCTTTCTTGTGGATGGGGCTTGTAATTGTTTTGATCAGGCTGAAGCAGACAGCAGGTGTTCCTTTGTGAAGGACAACATAAGTGGGCAGGTCCTGGAAAATTGGTTGCCTGGATTAGGTGCACAAGAGGCTTTGGGGTTGGTGCTGAAGAGATGATAGGCTTCTTTTCCCCTCAGTACATAGAGGGAAGAAGTTGTCTCTGACCCCTTTAGAACTTGCCCTGGTCTGCTTTCCAAATAACAGCTGGTGAGTTATTTGACTAACATATGAAAAGATAATTTCTACTCTATGGTCCCAAGTAGCCAGTTACAAATAAACATAAAGGTAAGAATTTAAGCCTATCAACCCAGACCTTTTTTTTTACCTTTTTTCATGGCTATATTTGGAGTTGCAAGAGAGCATCTTTACACCCACAGGCAGGAAGATAGAACATTTCTTAAAATATTTTCAAAGTTATTACCCTACACAAGACAAAGAAACAGATTCATTATCAACATTTACACACACTCCTGTGTATACACACACTCTTACTCACAGGATGTAATGTAGATGATACCTTTTCCCAAAGGAAATTTTATAGACTAGAAGTATGCCTATATGAATGTCTGGTAATATGAGTCATGCTACACCCAAATATCCTCCTGCTCTTTTTAAGAGCACTGAAGAGACTTAATTCAACACACAAGCCATCATACTGCCACTAATGACACTCAGTCTTTGCCAAATTTTTTGGTGCTGACATATTTATTATAATGTTCTGTTTCTTTGTGTTACTAAAAAGATACTGAAGTATCTAATAAATTAAACATTTTATACCAATGACTACCTCTTTCTTTGGGAAAACAATCTATGTGAAGGAAATAGCATACTGTTATAAACATTTCAGAAATAATGAATTTTGATATACAGTGCCTTTCAAAGATTCTAAAACTATTAAATAATGAGTACCAATCTACGAAATCCATCTTCACCTAATTTTTTCCCATGAAATATTAATAAAAAAAGTCTTACAATATTAAAGTCTACTACATTTGGAGATATCTTAATTTTGTTCTTTCACAGTCATTTATTCACTGAACAGAAATAAAGAATTAGTCATGGTTCAGGTACAAAGGAATATAAGCTAATGTGTATGCAGTGGTTAAGGAACTATGCAAATAAGTGATTTTTAACCCTAGCTTAGAGTAACTTAAATAGGTAATTCAGAGTATTCAGAAATGTCCCAAGGTTTACCTATTTTAAATAAAACTTTAGTGTTGATATTTTTATAAACATGATTCGAAGAAAGTCTTGGGAAAAGATAAAAGGAACAAACATTTGAAAAGAAGAAATACGGGAAAGATTTTATTTTCATTAGAGAAAAAAAGCCGACAATTTAATGTCTTTATTCATTGAGCCATTCTTCATCTCACATCCTCCTGAACTTTAAATGGCACTTATCCAGTGAAATAAGAGTACATCAAGGCATTTGGTTTTTTAACGTGGCTTAATTTCAAAGTAAAACTTAGACCATGTTGAGCTGCTAACAATCTGAATTTACATATATCTTTTTTAATACTTAATATCTTAATGTGAATTTCACAGTTATGAATATGTGTGCATATATAATGTGTGTGTATAAATATGTAGTATTTAAAAAGAAAGCACTAACAGAGAACATAATTTCTCACAGCTAAAGATGGACAGAGAGTCCAAGAGAGAGAGGCAACTCAAACACTACAAGAAGCTAGCACTTTTTCTCCCCTGGAATCTTTTTGCCCCACATTCAAGAAGTTCTGAGAGCTAAATCAGAATTTCTTGATTGACTCATAACGAAGTTCATGGGAGAAAGAAAATAGTGATAATAATTTTTCATGTAAGTTTTATGAATCACCCACATAGTTTTACCAAAGGTGGTGACTTTCCATACCCTGTTACTTGCACTATCTCCTGTAACCTATCACTTATATTAACTGCGGACTTTGTATAGTTGGTGTCTTGACTTTTGTGATAAGCTGATTCCAAAGCTGTGGGTATAGTTCAGCATCTTGAACATACAGCTCACTTTTCCTTCTCCCCTTCCAATATGGCATTTGGTAATGCTGTGGTCTTTCAAGGCTTAAGGTTTATTTCGGAGGTTTCATGGTTTTCATTCATATATGCTACAGAAAACTAAAAGCCAATTTTGTTTTTATTTCAGCATCATTCACAATGTCCTTTTACTTCATCAAAACATAAAACTGAATGGGTCTGAAAGCTTTTGCTAAAGAGAGAAAAGGAGGAAGACAATTACATTGTAGTGAAAGGTAAAGCTGTAATGTAAACCTCTGATCATACTGTAGAACCTCAGTCCCCAAAAGAGCAGTAACATATTTTAAAATAACCATAATAATACAGGTTTTTCTTTTTTTGAGACAGAGTCTCACTCTGTTGCCCAGGCTGGAGTGCAGTGGCACGATCATAGCCCTCTGCAACCTTGAATTTCTAGGCTCAAGTGATCTTCCTGCCTCAGCCTCCTGAGTAGTTTGAACTACAAACACATGCTGCGACACTTGGCTAATTTTTAAAAATTTTCTGTAGAGACGTGGTCTCGCTATGTTGCCCAGGCTGGTCTTGAACTTCTAGCCTCAAGCAATCCCCCTCCACCCTGGCCTACCAAAGTGCTGGAATTACAGGCATGAGCCACCGCCCTCAGCCACAATACAGGCCTTTAACTAATTTTTTTATGAAGATATTTACATGGGTTATTAAGTTATTAAATTTCAGCCATTCCTTCCTATATTTCATTTCTGTTCTTCTTACAAAGATGCTGGAAAAATATGTATTTTGAAATAAAAAGAAAAGACTCCCAGTCACCAAAGCTAAGGAGTAAAATGAAGCATCCTTATCTAAAATGTTAAAGCTCCCATTTATAATAATTTTGTGGAAAATCTATACTTACAAAAAATTCATGCTTAAATTTAATTCAGGAACTTAAATGACAAAATTAAAAAGCAACTCAAACCCTAGTATTCAAAAAGTAATATGTTTAAAAATGTACAACTTTGCTATAAATGATTTTTACAATGTCATTTACTAGCAGACATGTAACAAAAATATGCTTATTTGAAAATTTAGCAAATACTGCAATATATGTATATATTTATCACAACACAAAACTAAAGCACACACGTATATATATATAGCTAAAAGTATCATCCTAAATCTTTATTAATAGAATTTTTAGTAAGAAAAACTTCTGTAATGGCTGTATTTTCACTGTGGAAGTTACCTTTAGAAATCACTTTACCAAAATTCCAGCAACTCAGACAAAAAAAGGAACTCAATGTCAGCTCCATATGAGACCATAGTGAATTCTATATACCATTTTTCCAACTTTTAAAAATCCTTTATTGTCCACTATTAGGATAATAAGATGCAGAAGGGACAGTGTGAGAGGAAATGTAAAAGTAATGAGTGGCTATGTTACCTACAATTTGAGCTACCATGCCAATCAGAATATTAATTTAGTGGATGAAACCTATCCTTGAGTCCTAGGGCTAAATAAACTAAAAAGAACTTAAGATTAATGCCATCATCTATTTAATTTCCTATTATATGGTGGTTCTTTAGCGTTTCCCTTTCATGTGATAATTTTTTATCAGGCAGTTAAATGTTATCTACTGATTGCCTACTCCTAATATGAAAAGGAAGTGGATTGGGCAATTGTGACTGGCAGACTCTTCCTTTTATGAAAGAGATAAAAAAAAAAAACGGGTGGGGGGTGACTGAGGATGATGCTGATTTGCAAATGAGCCATACACTTAATAAGTTAATAAGCCAGAGTAGGTAAGAACTTCAGCCAATAGATACATTTTAAACACATGAAATAAACTTATAAGGAAACTAAAAATTCCATGTAAAATAACTAGATCATAGTAACCACGTTGACACTGAAAGATAAAGTTTAATCATAAAAAATGAAACAGTAACCATTTTAAAAAAGCAACTACTCTTCCTGGTAAAGCTAGTAAGAACTGCACAAATAAGAAAGAAACAAATCAGGATGCAGAGATCTGCAGAGAAAATAAATTGGTTAACAGGAAGTAACTATTATTGAGATATCATACAATTTATCTCCTTTATATAAGGACTTAAGATAATAAATTTTAGTTTGATAACAGAAACATGAAATATTATATTGGATGATAAAGTAATAAATTGATTTCTCTGTACAAAATAAAAATACAGTTTATATCAATACGTATCACTTCAAAACCAGTTTCCACACATTCTCATCAAATCCATAATGTTCAATGTGAAATAAAAGAAAAACAATCTATGAAGCTCTCATAAACCACTACATAAGGTAGAATCTGAAATAAAATATTATTATGAGTAACTAAAATCATTGATGCATCATTTCCTTAATTTTTGGTATATGTCTCTTCATAATTTTTCCCCCTCCCAAAAGAGAATGATTCACTTGTTCTATTTTAGAATACTGATTTCACAGAATCCTAACATAGTTATTTTAGGCTATTATAAGAACCCATTATTTATTAAGCAATATGTTAAACACCATGCTAACATAATTAATCTCTGTAGTCCAGCAACATGTGTGTTTACAGGAATAAGATGTGGGGTACACCAGAAACACTGCCTCTTGTGGTCTCAGTTTTCAGTATCTTAGGTATATGGAATTATATGATAAATACTTTCTCCTCTGAGAAAGCAGAACAGAAGAAAATAGGGAAGAACAAAGAAAACTTAATGAGATGAAGAGTGGAGGAGAAATAGTCCAGTGAGAAGAGATGAGAATGATAAAGAAAAGAAAATGGAATTAGAAAAAAACCAAAAAAATAAAGACAACAATTTAGCAAATCAAAAAAGAGAAAGAAAGTACATCTGCTGTTAGACAATATCATGGTATTGATTCCACTCAATGACTCATTCATTTCTGCTGAAGTCCAGGGAAGGAGGTAAATTGAGAGGGAGGGAAAAGGAGAGATGAATATTAAGGGGATACCACACTCTCTATCCATTCTGATTATGTTGGCTTCTCCTTTGAACAATATTCTCCTGTTGTTCTGGGGTTGAAGGAACAAGAGAGTGAGGACAGAGTCCAAAATGAGAGACAACAGTGAGAGTAAGGGAGACGCATAAATGAAGTTAGAGGAAGTTTTGAGATAGTCCTTCAATCTGTTCCCTCCTCCCACACTCTCTGCCATCCTTAGTCTTGCTCAACAATGTTTATCATTTTGGAGGTAACAAAAACCACTAGCTTATAGTACTTATCTTCCATCTCTCACTAATCAATGTAGAACATCCTATTTGCTGCAGTCTATCTTCTTCTTGACTATCCCAACCTGGTTATTTTCCATTCCAGTATCCTTTATAGCCTCATCTATTGAAACATTTCTTTCCATAATGTAGTCATCAGGTTCCAGAATATCTTTCAAAATAACAGTGAATATGTTTTAATATTAATACAAAATAAAAGGAAAAACTTCCAAATGTTGTTAATAGATTCAACCATCATATATGCCACTCTTCTCAAGTGATATTCCCGAGACTGTTTTTAGTATGGATAGAATCTTTAGAACCCTTTGCACACCAAAAACAGTATTAACATGAAATTGAACAGATTATAAATATGCCCCAATAATTTTAATAACTATAAGTAGTCTCATCAGCTAAAAAAATGTGTTAAAAGTGCATCATGAGGGCAGAGTTGCTGCATCAAACTATGCCGAGGTATCTCCCAGAGAGAGGGATGTAGTGGCAGATGAAGTGGAAAAAATCTTGGGAGATTCCAGCAGCCTTTGAGGAGTTGGATCTTCAATGGTGGGGAAGACATGTAATAAGACTCAGTCTGCTTTGCTTGGATGTTCATGATTTTTTCTTCTTCCTATCTGGCAGCCACAGTTTCTCAGCCACAGAAGTATGTTGGTTTGAAAAACTTAAAAGCCACTTATAACAGAGAATATAGCAACATGAAAAAGGACATAAAACTTCCAGTTTCATTTCAATTAAGAAAATACTTTTAAAAAAGGAGCAAACTAGAAACATAGGCATCTAATTAGACATCTTGAAGATATACCATACTAGCAATTTAAAAAAATAGTATTTGAATTCATCTGATTTATTCAACTTTCTTAGACTCTTAGGGAAATATTTAAAATAATTTTTGTATTTATCTTAAGTAAAGAAAAATATCAGATTTTATATTTTACATTACTACCTATAGTCATAGGAAATTTTAGAATTACAGAAAAATACTAACTGGGTTAGTATCATCCAAAATTATAAGATTTAACATTGTTCTTTTCATTAATGAGTCTAAATTGGTATGGAACAATACTGGCAATCTCACTATTCTAGTCAATTAATGGATTAGAGAATTAATATTAGTTATGTATTTCAAATTTATTAGGCCATACTTTAATGTAACTATTATATCATAACCAAACCCTATGGTAATGAACGTAGGGAGAGAAGGGATAATTGCAGACTATAAATAATTTATACTTGCTTCAATTAAGAGAATTTCCATTTCACCACCTCTGTATATTATCTAATAAGAGATTAAATGCACTGTACAGACCACAATACAGGCAACAGCAAGAAAAAGAGGGCAGAGTAGGCTACATTTAGTGAAATGCATTGGTTTTGCCCAAATATGCCTCTACTTGAACACAAAAAAACCTGGCAACCGATCATATTATTAAAAAAGTCTACTTTCATGAAATTCAACATACTATCTTGTCTCTATTATATTCCAAAATCAATTTGTTGGCTCTAGTAGCAGTATGCCAAGAAGGAGGATTCCAATTGGTCCAACTGTTGTAGCAGGTAAAAGAGAAGAAAGGCGGTTGCAAAGTTGTTATTGAGCTCCTAATGTGTGCCCGGCATTATGACAGGTGTTTTTACATATCTTACTTATCTGAGTGAAAGAAGCAGAGTGAGGAAGTGGCAGTAAAGTTAAGTTTCAACCCTATTTCTAATTTCAGTTCAGCTGGCTCGCTATCCCAGCTATGTAAATTCTCACTTCCTTTCTTCTTCTCCTACCTTGGCCCCACTTAATCTTTCATTGAATCCTGAGATTTACTTACATGCTTGTTAGGATTCTTCCTCTTTTGTTGGATAGTTATATAATTTTTGAGTTTTGGGAGGGAGTATAATAAAATTGAAGTAAGAACATGGGTCTTAGAGTCAAAGAACTTTGAGTTTTGGGTGAGCTGAATAATTATTCTGAGTCTCAATTTCTACATATACCTTATTTGCAGGATTATTGCATGGACTAAATGAAATAAAATATGTAAAATACTTAACATGATGCTTGGCACACTGTAAGAACACAATAAGTGTTAGCTATGGTTATTATCATTAGAAAAAGGTAAACAGATGCACAGTTACCATGACTCACTTAAAGCCATAAGTCAATTTCAGAGCAAGAGCTGGAACCAAGTTTTCCCAAAGATCATTCTGTGTAGTTTTCAATATTTTAGAATATTCCTGTGATGTAAAGATGCATTTACACATTCTAGGTGTATTTAAATGTCACCAATCCACATAGATTTTATTAGTTTATTTGTAGACTTTCAAAGGCTTTCATATTCATTTCATAAACACCAGTATCTTTGTTCCACAAACAATATCCTTTAAATAATTTTATTTTTATTAGAGACTAATCTCTATCCTCTTAATGACCATCTGGAAATGCATGCTGAAACTATTCAACAGATGTCATGTTTGTTAAGGTCACATTGCAGAAATGGAAGCAGCATAAACATTAGAAGAGGGAAAAGCTACTCGTCTACTGAAGCAGCTGCTTTATCCCACTGCCCAAATCCTCATCCTATGGGACAGGAAACTTCAGTCAGAACAACTACTTTGTACAGTTTCTAGTAATCAGAAAAGAAAGCCATCAAAACTGTCATAGTGTGGAAAGGCTTTGTCTACTACCAACACTCTATTATTCAGTGTCAAAGGTACACCCACGCATTTAATTTTGAAAACGTTTACCAACTTTTACTTCACTTAGATAATGAACTTATTGAAGAGACATCATGGCTTTAATTATCAGTGTCTAGGAGCCTTTCCAAAATATCACAGACTTCTCAAATTATTCAAAACCAAAATTGAAATGTCATTTGCCTTATGATTAGAATCACTGAGAAAAATCAGGTTTTTCACAAAATTTCTTCCATCACTAGGACATGCAAAAGCAAATTTAGTTAAATTGTGTAATAGGAAATAATTACTCACTCTGATGAGTTAGTAAGCGAGGAGCAGAATACTAATAAAAACTCTGCCTTTTTTCAAATGAGTTATGATATTAATAATTTTGGATTATTTTAACTTTTTAAGATAACAAATATACTTTATTTTGGCAGAGAGAGTGGAAAAAAGTGAATCAACTGAGACATATAAAATAGTCCAAAATGAAAAGCATATAATGTTCATTTTCTAAACCTAAGTTTAAGAAAAATAACCCTTAAAAATCTACAATAGGCACAGAATCCCACTATTATAAAAAATGGCAGTGGGATTCTGTGCCTACTGTAGATTTTTAAGGGTAGATAACAAAGGGATTTGTGAGGTTCATAGGGCAAGAACATTTTTTAAAATGAAAACTGTTGTCCTCTTTTAGGAAATAAAAAGCTAATTCAGCTATTAAAAATTTTAAAATTTTCAAAGATCTACATTTAAAATACTCCCCCCAAAACCACCAGATACTTTAATGAACAAATCAATGTTAGATAAATGGATGTATGCTGTTATAAAACATCTACTAGGTAATTCAATAATTTATAAAATGAAACTTTCAAAAAGTTGTATCAAGAAAAGGTTGAATTTATACATACTGTCACTTTAATTTCTATTCCAAAATTGTTATTCCAGTTCATGGAATATATACTATTATCTAGTACTTTTCCATACAGAAATGTATATCTAACCTCAACCACCACCAATGCTCTTCAGGTTCTTTTAAAAAAATGCTTTACGTTCCATCAAATAATTAAGAAGAATAAATATTCAGTTATTTTTTCAAAAGGCTGTTCAATATTTTGTATACAAACAGGAATTTCATTTCATTGGCATTCTTTTAAAGCTTTAGCAAATCAAAATTAGTTCCTCCCACTGACTCTTAAGTTAATTATACATACCACAGTCTGATGATTAACTTGAATCACTTCATCGCCAGCATGGATTTTCTTGCACCGATCTGCAGGTGACTGAATTTAATATAAAAGAAACGATAAAGAACATAAATTTTATCAGTCATTTCCTGTCTCTGGAAACACTACAAAAAGTTCATCTCCATAAATTAGATTTAAAAATTAATTAAAAATTTCAAGGAATTAAAGCAATAAACACGGTTATTAGTATTTAATACACTGTTTTTACCTGCTGAGCCAGTTAAATAAACATAGAAAGAAAAAAATTAATAAAAAATAGTTTGCATTCTATGCATAGCTAATGACAACAAACAGAAATGCAAAATAATATATAGATATTTATTATAAAAGAACACGTTTCTGAGAGCATTATGAAAAAATGATAATTGGTATTAACCTTTGTAAACTTTATACAAGCAACTCTCCTAGGCTCTAGTGGGTAAGTGCTTCAAAAATGCATTTCAAAAAATTATATCTTTTTGTATTGTGATCCTTTCCATTTGATATAAATAATTCACATTAACTTCAACAAATCCATTTCAAGTACATGAATATGATCAGCATCAAAGATTTGAAGTTTGATAATTAAATTGCTAATTTATTTCATCAGTAACACCAATTCTGAATAATCTAGCAAAGCAAATTAAAAGATGGACAGCAATTAGTTCAAATCATATTACATAACATGCTAAGTGTCTAGTTATAAGAGGATGCTATTTCTCATGTTACATATAGTGTAATACACTGGACAGTAAAACCACATTCAATGAACTAAAATGCCAATATTTCTATAGAATGCAATAATCTAACACTTTTTTCCTTTATTCCCAAAAGGGATGAAAAACAAAAACAAACAAACTTGGTAAGCTAATACTGACAAGTTTTAAGGAGTTTTTAGGAAATTAAAATGAGATTTAAGATAGAAATTTTATATTGCAGGTCTGAGTAATGAATTTAAAATATTATATTTTTCTTGTTAGCTACTTATTGATTATATGCATTTTAATATGCTTTTGAATATATAGAAAATCCATTTTTATAAAAATGTATTTGTCTAGATAGATGTGTATGTGTTTATCTATCACACACAAACATAAATGCTGTGATACTCTTCGTTATTATCTACTGAAAGCTAAAGAAGAAGAATATGGTAATGTAATCTGCAAAGTACAATGCTACTTTTGAGACCCTGGAGTAGGACATACTTTAAAAGTGATTTCCAGTTTGTTTTTTATTCATTTCCAATTATTTTTAAAACATAGAAGTCTTGAAACAATGTTAACCTCCATTCAACACATTTTTAAAATTCACAATAAAATTATTTGTCATAGGCTATAATTCAAGATAAGACAACATACCAGGGAGTTCTAGTTACTGAAGTAATAACACAATTACATTATTAAGGGGATAGATCAATCTACAATAAAAAACTCTAAGAATAGAGTCATAACAATAATATAATATTTTAATCTCACAGCACCTTTAGGAGGGGGACATATTACCAAGTCAGACAAGTACCATGAAACAATTCTGAAAAGATTGTAAATCATTAATATATTTGTAACTATAGTTGGTTCCTGTGGTATTTGGTTCACAACTGATCCTTTTAAAGGAAAGTATGGAAAAAATATCGAGCAAATGGCTCTAGTCATTATGTAGAAGAAAATGATAGTATATAAAATTCAAAGAAACTGAAACATTTTGCACAGGTAAGTAAAGAAGTCATATAAATTATAGATTTTTAGTTTTAAAAGAGATCCTAGAGATAGAATTTTGTCCAAATGCCTCATTTCACATATAAGAAAACTAAGAAATTAGGGCACAGCAAAGCAAAATAACTTACCCACTCTAGTGAGCAGCTTTACTAAGACTCAAGACAGATCTCCTAATTATAAATGACTGAGGTTACCAAAAATACTTAAATATTTTTAAGAAAAAAAAGAATCAAAAGATGAACTATTAATATATGGTTCATATCTGAACTACTCCCAGACTCAATCTCTCTTTTGATCACTTATCTATTTATGAAACATTAGTGAGTAATATGAGCAAGACAGTGCTCCACATTTTTTTGCAGACCTGAGACAATATAGAGATCCATTCCTACCAATTCTTCAAGATACAGTTCAAAATAACCATTTCTGTGATTCTTTCTCTGATTTCACTTGGCAGTATTTACTATTCTTCCCTTTGTCCATCCATGCAAATTACACTACTGTTTATAAAGATGAACCCCCACATGCTCTCCACGCCTTGATGGCACCAAACTAGTTATTTTAAAATTCTTCCAATACCTAGCACCATGCCTGAAACATAGCAGACATGAAGCAGAGGTCTGTTAAATGAACAAATGAATACATGAATGAATAAATAAATCAGAATGAACAATTGATGACAAGCATATAGTTTGTAGCATCTTAACTGCATTTAAAATTGTTAAAATCTTCATAATATGCATGTTACTGATATTCTTGATCCCTACGACTCTCATATTTAATACCAAATGTGAAGCTGCTCCTGCACTCCAACTGCAAATATATATGTTTCACCTTTCACAAGAAACCAAGAGAAGCAAGGAAAAATATCAGTAAGTGATTACATAGGGGAATTAGATGAAAAGAATGTTGATTTTTAAAAAGAAAATGCTGGTAAAATGTTCAGATCAATAATAATTTGAGATTGAACTAATTCCACCTCAGTCTTCTTTAAAAGAGCACTGCATATGCATGCAATTGGCAGAATCTCTAAAATAAAAAAAAAATACATTCAAAGCTCAGTACCTGCTTATATAATAATAGAATGGAAATCTGAAATAACCAAATGCAAGAATGATGATGTATTATGCTGTTCACCTCTATCACACTGATCATGTTAATAATATCCAGCATGATCACTTCATGCTTTTCTCTCTATAACACAGATAGTTCTCTATAGCATGGCCTTTTCTTAGCTTATTTAATTTTCATTACAACCTAGTGAGGTATGTAGTGCAGATAATTTGTTTCCAATTATAGTCGAAGAAACTGAAGCAATGAGAGGTTAAATGTCTTGCCCAAAATTACACTGCCATTAAGATGCAGAACTGGTTGTAAAGACATAGGCCTGTGGACTTCTGGCCCACTGCTTATGGTGGTTCGCAAATATGCCTCAGATTCACTTGTTAAAATAGAATCTCTTATTAAGAAATAGGCTGGTCTCCAGAATTTCTGATTTAGTAGGTCTGGGGTAGGGCCTAACAGTTTGCATATATAGCAAGTTCCAAAGGGAGGCTAATGCTGGTGTCCAGGAATGTCACTGTGAAAACCACTCAGCTATACCATGCTGCCCTTCCACTGAATTAAGCTGAATTATACTGGAAGTATTCAGAAAACCTGACTTATCTGATATTTATTTCTCGCATGAGTTTAGTTTCTTTAAATAACCAAATCATTTGACAGATGGAAATGAATTCTTTCAGATGTCACAATAACTTGTCATGAATCAGAAAATACAAAGACAAATCTCTGGCTGAAAACACCTGATTTACTTTAAGTAAACAGCTATTCTAAACAAAAAAAAAGGGAAATTTGAACAGAATGAATGCTACTAACTCAGTATCTCTTTTAAATTGTATCTACTATCTGTTCATGTCCTTATCCTTAGATGTTAACCTCAATCATGTGAGATATATAAGTTGTTAGCAATAAAAGGGAAAAACACACTTAAAAATTTGAAAGGTTAGAATACTTACATTTTCTGTGGTTCCAGTAATTACATGGAGGCCATCATATGTAGATTTAATATACATACCCTAAGAAAAAGACAGCATCAGAAAAGAAAGTGAAGCAATTGGTGAATTTTCAAGTACATTGTAACCTCGTTTATATAAAAAATTACTCTATCAAATTAAAACTGCCACACGCCCCAGAAATAAATCCATGAAGACAGACGCTATCTTTAAACTGGTGAGAAATTACTATCTGAACATTCTGGTTTCTAAAGTTTGTCTGAAGAAGCCTATACTCAATTAAATAACTACTTGATAAGTGAATTGCCTGTGAGACTGATAAAATGCAGCATGGTAATTCAATATTCCTAAGAAAGAAACTCTCTCACTCTCCCCAAAAACCCATACTGCATATTCTGTGGCAAAATAAAAGTTACAATGGGAAATTAAAATATTGGTATGTTATTAACTTATTATACTTGATATATTATACAATGGAAAGTAGTTTTCTAATGAGACACTTCAATTATAACTGGAACCAGAAGAGTGATAAAATATAATTTACATAAATTTTCTCCTTCTATTTTGTAGTATCCTGTATTTTCCACCTTTCTTATTGATAAAGTTTTACTAATTATATCCAATCATATCTACATCGATAATTAAAAGGTAGTGTGTATCTGTAGCAATCCCTTCCCCCAGTAAAAAGGACAAGATTCCACTTTCCATTTAAATAGAACCATTTTTAGAAAAAACTACATTAAAGTTTAAAAATTATACAGAAATCCTGAAATCATACAAACTTTAAGAGCAAGTGGAAACTTTAAATTATGGATAGTGATGGAACTTTAAAGAAAAAAAATCACAATAAGGGATTCACATTTTTAATATTAAATAATTTAAGTAAATCAGAACAAACTAGATGATTCAGTTAATGAATTTTTGTCCCCTCCAAAGAAGATTGTTACTTTAAATTTATTTTCGGGGAAAAACTACCCAAATTTTACCTATAAAAGTGGTTTGCATTTCAAAATACTTACTTCATAAATAAAAATATTAATATTAATTAACTTCAAATCTGAAATATAGATTTAATAATAACAACCAACAATACCATTTCAGAAAAAGCATACATTTAGTACTTACATGAAGCAATTGCTACAATGTTAATTTCCTATACCTTTGTTAATTATATATTTAGATACCTGAAAATACATGTGTCTTCACTGAAAATAAGAGATTAGAAAAATAAGTAGTAAATTTCATGGTATGGAACTATTGAGAAATCACTGGGTAGATTTTAATTCTAAAAAGTCATTTCAGTAATACCATATGTCTAAAATGGCTGAGCCTGGATTGCTAATATGAAACAAAATGAATGCTTATCACTTTATATAAAACAAATAACCTTAACAAAAGTACAATCAGAATTTAATTAATGGATTGGCCAGTAGTTTTTGCCTATGACAACATGGTAATATTCAGCCTTACACTGGTGACAGGTATACAACATACTTAATTTGAAGCTAACATTTACCCCATTATTTACTGATCGGTAAATATAATGGTATTATTTTAGAACTTAGAAGAGGACAAGATCTCTGTAAATATTTTTCATTCAGGAATTAACAATATTATATCAGATTAATAAAGGATCTTAAAATACAGTCATGTGATGCATAATGACGTCCTGGTTAATAGTGAACTATATATACGATGGTGGTCCCATATAATTATGTAATGATATTTTTATTGTACCTTTTCCATGTTTAGATATGTTTAGATACACAGATACTTAACACTGTGTCACAATTGCCTACAGTATTCAGTACAGTAACATGCTATACAGGTTTGTAGACTAGGAGCAATAGGCTCTATCATCTAGCCTAGGTTTGTAGTAGGCTGTACTATCTAGGTTTGTGTAAGTACATTCTATGGTGTTCACATAATGATGAAATTACCTAAGGATGCATTTCTCGGAATGGAATCCCGTCATTAAATGAAGCATGACTGCACATTTGTAAGAGCTAGAGAGTAAATTTTTCGTGTTTTTTTTTTTTTTTTTTTTTTTTTTTTTTTTTTTTTTTGAGACGGAGCTTCACTTTCGTCCCCCAGGCTGGAGTGCAGTGGCAGAATCTCGGCTCACTGCAACCTCTGCCTCCCGGGTTCAAGTGATTCTCCTGCCTCAGCCTCCCGAGTAGCTGGGATTACAGGCGCTCACCACCACGCCCAGCTAATTTTTGTATTTTTAGTAAAGACGGGTTTTACCATGTTGGCCAGGCTGGTCTAGAACTCCTGACCTCAGGTGATCTGCCTGCCTTGGCCTCTCACGCTGCTGGGATTATAGACATAAGCCACGGTGCCTGGCCAATTTTTAGTTTTTGACATATAAGGGTTGTGAGAGGATAAAGTGGAAAAAGTGAACAAAACAAAATACACTGTTCGGACACACAAAATAATTATCATCCATCATTATCTATCACCACCATTAATATCTACTTGTTACAATGTGCCAGGGACTGTTTTAAGTGTCTTGCACTTATTTCACAATAGTCTATGTAGTGGAAACTATCATTATCTCTGTTTTAGAGATAAGGAAACTGAGGCACAGAGAGGCTGGGGAGTCTGCCCAAGGTGGTGAAGCCAGCTTTCAAGCCCAGGCAGTCTGACTCCAGAGTCCACACTCTCAACCACTGGGCTCCTGATTTATGGCTTTATTTACAGTTAGGAGAGTTGTACACCTTAACTTTTCTTATTAGAATATTTGATGACTGTAGATATTAAAGTCAAACATTCACTTTTTAATATCTGTTCTAAAAGACTAAGACCACTTTAGCAAATATGTAGTATATGAAATGTAGCTAAAAGAATAACTGGGATTGATATTTTACAAATTCATTTCAATTACCCATCTCTCTTTGAGGCAGGATAGGTAGTCAAGGAATTAACATGTCCTTGGAATTTGGCAACTGTGGCGAATGTATGGTTAACACAATAAGCCCCAGCATTCACAATGTAGTCAAGCTCATTCAAGCACAGCTAGGAAATTTCCCCCGGAGGGAGCACGTGCATTTTGATTTTACCTGTCCTCAAACTAAGCCTTTGCTCATTATAATAGTAAAAAGCACAGCCCTGGGTGGAGATTTAAGATGCTAAAGAGACATGCAACATATGAACAGGCATGTACAGCTACTGTGCACGTGCACACCCAGAGGACCACCCAGAACATGCTTACTAGTAACAGCTCTTCCCACCCCCATATAAATAATCACGTAAGACTCCCATAAAGGGAGTCTCCCTAGTGCCAGTCTTGGCGGTCTCATCCTCAGGAGCAGCCTGCCCTGAATCCTCTCTCAGGGTGTACTGGCTATTCTGCACCTAACTTTCACAATATTCTTTTTCCTTTGCAATAAATTGCTCTATGCTACATCTCCTTTGCTGTGTATCTCTTGTTTAAGTTCTTTTAAACTAAGAAGAACCGAGGTTTCACAACAGCTGTCAACATCTTGACAACTGTAAGCAGAAGTTGATTCTATTTTTCTCCATGTATCTTTCACTATTGACTACGAATTAAAGGTGTTTGACAAGAGTCCTAAATGATTCTATAAATGATGAGGTCATAAAGAAAGCCTAATATTTAAAGAAAAATGTTTAGAAAAGACACTGTAGTTATTGGGATAATAAAAAATCATGGAAACAGCATAGCTATGACTCTAAATTTATCTGTGTATAATTATTACAAATACCAGGAACTTAACTGACAATTGTAAGCCAAAGACAGTATCTAGTAGTTATAGGAAGAGGATCTCATCATGACAACATTGTACAATTTATATTAAAGCTATTTTTTTTCAGATGAATAAAAATTTTAAATGCTTAGAGATGTATCTACATATAGACATAAAGCAATAGGGTAGAAATAAAACAAATTTTTAAATGCCACAAGAATAAAGATATTTTGTTTTATGTAATATTTTCACTTCTAAACTCAATAAACCATGTTGTAACTGCTTTTAATAATCAAAACTGACTTCTTTGTCTTTTTTAATCTCCCTCTCATAGTAGTAATGAGAAAAATGGCCAAAAGTCAGGCACCAAAAGAAAGAGAAGAAATAAGTTGCTTGGATGAGTTTCAAACTAATCATCTTCTGAATAAGAAAGGGTCCAGAGAAATACATCTGATTCATTGTTCACCTCTGAGAAAGGGCCAAACAGCAGGAGGACATGTAATTCAAATGACTCTTTTTCTGGAACCGTGACAAATATGGCTTTCCATTTCATCAAAACCTTCATTCCTCCTTTTCTCTCTTCTTAAAAATTCATTAATTAATTCTAGAGCTGACTTGCACAGCTCCCTCTCTCCTGCTCAGGTTGCCAAAATGACATTTGCTTTGCTCTGTCTCCAAATGTTGGTTAACCAACAGGAGCCAAAGCAACCTCTCAGTCAAGTTGGTGGAATAAGGCATATTTGGAGATGGTCCAAGTACCCAAATAGAAAAAGAACTCCCTGAGGCCAAGAGGTTTCCCCAGGGATGACCCCAGTCCCTTCCTCTCTATTTGGCTCATGCCTTGGCTCTGATCCAGTTTGGTTGTTTCAATAGCTCTCATTTTCCTTCCTTTAATTTTCTGCTAATTATTGTTGTTTAAAAGCACTTTAGAAGAAAGTTTCATATGGTTCAATCATAACTAAGGTTGTTTCTCACCAGTCCTTACAATGCTTTAGGACTGTTAAACCTAAGAAATTCTAGGAGATTTGACTAATTAGAAAGCTGATAAACGATGTATCCAGTTTATCAGCAGGAGAACAAATCAGTTACCTTTTGCCTATGAGACATGTTCTGTCCTAACATTGGAAGAACACCTTCTGTGGATATTTCTAAGCTAATTAAATTTCATTAAATCTTGGTATTCTCCCACCGCTTTCTATTTCTTTCCTTCATTTATCATTTAGACATTTACTATGGCTAATTACCAAAATCCTAAATCAAAATCCTAAAATTGGTTTATTTCAAATGTGACTGACTAAACTTACTTAAACGTGACTGAGTTTTAAAACGATACCTTGAATAAGCCATGTAAATTCTCTGTTTAGTACTTCCCCTTTGATACGAATCACAAAAAATAGTTTTATACTTAACTCTTTCTATTAATATTCAACATTTTGAGTTTTTCTTTTCCTTCCTTTCAATTCCCAGTGAAGTGCTGCCCCTTGTCCTTTAAAAACAAATTTCTCTAAGTAATTTCAGTTTTAAAGTCATCCTCCTAAGCTTCTCATACCTGTTTAGCAATTCAAAATTTGAATGTGGAATAGTAAAAAAAGCTTTGTTCAGATGTACTTCATCTAGATTTACCTGGACTTAAACCCTGCCTCTGTTATTTATTGTCTATATGTGATACAGAGCAAACTGGTGAATATGTGCAATTTTATTTTCTCATTTGCAAAATGAGAAAATTAATATCTACTCTATAGAGGTGTGAGAAAAATACCTGGCAAGTGATGGGCATTCATTTCTTTTCTCTTCTAGCTCTCTCCTAAACTGTTTAACTGAATCTGGTTCTTAGCATTTTAAGTTCCCAGATCTACCTCTTTCAAATGAAAACAATAAAGGACCTGTCCAGGGCTATACCTTCCTTAAAAAATCAAGATTTCATAAAGCCCATTAATTAGCATTGTTTTGACTTATTTTACAAGGTTATTTCTCCCAATGATTTCAGTGGAAATTAGAGAAAAAAAGTCAGGCTTTTTTCTTTTTAGAACCACAGACTAAGAGCCAGAAGGAGCTTTAAAGATGATCTCCTCATCTCCCTCACCTACATGACTAGATCAAGGCCAAGGTGGTTAAATTTACTCTCCCATCTCTTCAAGATCACTCTCATAGTTATATTTTATGTAAGTTATTTGTATCTGGGTGTTCTGACTTCTAGTTTAATACAATGTTGTATTAGTTCATAATTTTTCACTCTAAAAATCATGCTTAGGGGACTTCCTTTCCCTTATAACTACTAAAAGGGGATACATAGAAAGGCCAATCCTTATTGCTATAGATTGAAGTGTTTTAAAAATAAAACTGGACTTTGTAGATGTAACTAAAAGGAATAAAAAAATTTTAGATTATAATTACTTAACAGAAGTTCTAAATGTAATCAACATTAGATATAGCACTTACAGATCACAATGATGGCATGCTATGTCTGATATGCTGATTTTCATCATATTCCTTCCCAGGAAAACACCCATAAAAGCCACAACAGCACTAGGAACTACAGATAACCAGAATTAATTTGCCACATATCTGCAGAAAACTTACTCTCTAGGATAGATGGCCTCAAACTGAAAAATCAGTGGTAGTCAATAAAGGCTTTGCCTTCTGAACAGTTATATAGATGTATGAAAAAGAAAAGCCACAGAAAAAGTTAAACTTGCTTAGAGATCTTAAAGAATATATTATCTGAATTCAATTATTAATGCTAGTTGTCAAGATTTCTATTTTCCAAAATATCATTAATTGGTAAATTCATATACAGGGAGAAAGTGGAAACACTATAGCACCAAACTAACATGTAATAGTTGTGTAGTAGTTAAGATATTCTCTAGCCAGTTTCTTGTTTTCTGTCTCAATATCAATTTTTATATGCTTTCTTCCTATAGACTTATATTTTAAAAAATCTCTCTCTTGGGTTAAATCTAGAACCAATACACTTTTTAATCAGGTGAACAAAATATCAAACATGATTATATTTATTATTACATAATAAAAAAATACAACTCATAGACATCTAGTGTTGGCAATATCCACGTGCTTACTTACCCTTCTAAGAATGAATGCGAGTTATAAAGAATATCAGTTTTGTTTAGCTAACCCACCCTAGGGGAAGGAATAACTATTAAAACCAGAACAAACCAAAGTAAAACAAACAAAACAAACAAACAAAAAACCAACTTTCATGAGCAGGTAACATTGTGGTGTTTATTATAAAACTCTTAAACTTCCTTTAAACCTAAGGAACTTTGGTAGGGAGGGAGGTGAAAGAATGTAATTGAAGCTAAATGAGTACCAAATTAAATTAATTCAGAAGTCACCATTTTCAATTCTCCTTCATTTTCATTTATCTTCATAAAACTTCTTATCATGCATCACAAACTTCCACTACCATAACTCCTCCAGGAAAAAAATACCAAAATGTTCAGTGTCTGTTGAAATTCATAGATTCCCACATTCAGAGGCTGCTTTGTCCACATCATTAGCTCTCTACTGATGGATGGTGGTTTTGATAAACATGGTATCTCTTACCAGCCCTTCGCTTGGTTTAATGTTTGCCAGTTGAATCACTTCCAGGTGAGCAGACTGTGAAACCAGAGGATCTGACGACAGGGATATGATGTGGTCACAGACTCCAGAAAGAGTTTTACACTGGAAGCACAAAAACAAAAATAGTTGTGGTAAATACGTGTTGTAAGTAACATATAAATCACCTTTTGTAATAACGTTTTCATAAGGAAAAATAAACAGTAGAAGAAAGTAACTGGCATTTTATTCTGTAAAATCTGTACAAAGAAATTCAGGTGAAATGGAAACACATTTACACACAACACACCTATATTCTAAATTATGAGTGTAAGAACTATATGCCAAAATATTCATTAGTTATGGTTATACTGTTTCTATTATTTGATTTACCATACCTACAAAAAATGATGGTTAAACAAACTTAATCTGAGAACCTCCTGATTACAACCACAAGATTGAACTGAACACTATAAAAAATCTCGAAGTCTTTTAATTCATGGTCAGAAAAGTTAAAAAAAATCTGGCCAAGATCCAGGAAAGATGAATCTTCCAAATAAGCTTAACAAACTCTTCCTACTTATTTATCTAGACTTTCCTGCTCAACTTTGTATAAAGTTTCCCACCTCCTCCAGGCAAAGTCTCAATCCTGCTTTCTCAGCATTCTATGAACAATCTGAAACTGCGAAACTATTTTATTCTGAATCCCTCTGAGGCAGGTACCATGCCCTACTCATCTCTGTCTTCTTATCTTTTTCCCTCCACCCCCACCTACCACCTACATCAGGTAGACAAATCCTAGAAAATACAAAGCATTCAATAAATATTAGTTGAATGAACTGAAGAGCAAATGAGCTTAAACAATTAGTAGAGTGGCTTTACTAAGGACAGAAAGCTAGTGCTTTTGTCAGGATAAATCCATTCGTACTAACTGTATGAAACAATAAATGTAAAATATGTGTTACAGCTATCATGGTATTTTAAGGCTTACACATGGCAAAATCATGAAGAAAGTAGAATAGGAGTGAAGAAGCTTGAAATATACTGCCCTAAAATATGCTGGCCCTCAGATGCTTCACAGACTCTCATTGTATTTACTGAAGCCTGATTTTCATCATTTGAAACTTTTTTTTTTGCTTTAACTATAGGAGGAACTATTATTTTGCAATCAAGGTATTATCATCTATCCATCTCCAACATGTTACATTTGTTCTGTAGCCACTGTTATTAGTCTACTGTGAGGTAGACAGTGTTAACCCAAAATATCTGAGACAAATCTCAGTCAATTTAGGAAGTTTATTTTGCCAAGGTTAAGGACACGCCCGTGACACAGCCTCAGTAGGTCCTGATGACATGTACCCATGGTGATTGGAGTACAGCTTGCTTTTATACATTTTAGAGAGACATGAGACATCAATCAATATGTGTAAGATGTACACTGCTTCAGTCCTGTAAGGCAGGACAACTCGAAGTGGGGGCTTCCAGGTTAGAAGTAGATAACAGACAAAAGGTTGCATTCTTTTGAGTCTTTGATCAGCCTTCCACTGAATACAAAATTTAGTCTGGCTCAGTGAATCTGCATTTTTATATAAACAAAGAGGGCAGAGGAAGCAATCAGATATGCATTTGTCTCAGGTGAGCCTCAGAGGAATGACTTTGAGTTCTGTCTGTCCTTTGTCCACAAGGTATTTCCTTGTGGGCAAATTGTGAGGGAGGTATGTAGCTTCTTATCTTTGTAGCTACCGTATTTAGAAATAAAATGGGAGGCAGGTTTGACTGACATTGTTCCCAGCTTGACTTTTCCCTTGGCTTAGTGATTTGGGGATCCCGAGATTTATTTTCCCCTCACAACAGTTTCTCCTGTCTGGTCAAGATAATAAGAACTCTCTTTTTATTTACTATGTTCTGTCCTTGGTCCATGGCCTCACTTTGTGCTGGGTTCAGATTCTTTACACTAAAGAAACTGTCATGCTAAATTTCGCTAATTGTGCTAGTGCTGTTTGCATCTGCTTCTCAAGTCTGTACTTTTATTGTGTCTATCAGCCCCTCAAGAGAGACAGCCTCATGGTACCAATACCCATAGAAAGAACATGGGCTTGATCTGAAGACAGTTGTGGGCAATCACCACACTGCCAATGATTGCTGTGTGACTATAAACAAGTTATTTTATATCCTTGAGATTCACTTTCCTCAGATAGAAAATGAAATGAGCTAATAAAGATTACTTTATATGGCTGACATGCTAAGACATGATAATGCATTAAAAAGAGTTCAATATGGCTCCTATCCAAAAAAGACACCCAATAAATGCTTTTTCCTCCTCTGTTGCTTTCTCAACCCTTAAAATACTGAAATCCTATTCATGGTATGAATTATCTCATTATTCTTAATTGAATTACCTTGCTGACCATCTTACAATGATCAGTAACTACACTGGTTAGTCTAGCTGCATGGCCATGATGGACAGTTCACATCTCTTTACTCTCTCTGACGCTCAGGTCTCAATGCTCTTAGATACAATGAAGGTATTTACTCTGAAAAGCTGCTAGGCAAAGTGCCAACAGGAAGATCATTCCCCTGAAATAGGAAACCCTTCAGGGCCAGCTTTGTGGGAGGGTGACTTGTGCAGTTGCACATGGGCCTACACTTGGTTTTATGCTCTGCTGTTGCTATCCTAGAATTCTTAATTGTTTTTGAACAAGGGGCTTGGCATTTTCATTTTGTACTAGGTCTCACAAATTATGTGGCCCATCCTGGAATCCCATTCTCTGTATTTTTAAAAATTTGTCTTAAAAATATACATCAGCAGCCATGGAGAAAGGACAGAATGGCAGTACTTAACATATAAAAACTGGCTGCGGTTCAAATTCTATGTTTGACAGGAAGAAAAATAATGGCAGAATTAAATCTTTTAGCTATTCCTTCCCTTACCTATGTGGTTATATTTTCATTCTTATTTTCTCTTTATCTCAAGTAGGGGAGATAACACTGTGAATGCTGAAGGGTTTCTATACAGGATACTTGGATAGCATGCTAATCTGAAGGGTACGAAGTCAGTATGTTAAAAAGAACCCTTGTGGTTTCTACAAATTGAAGCATATTTCAAAAGAGTCCAATACATAAATAGGAAAGTAATGGATGTATATAAATGGCTCTCTGTCTATATATACATATGTATATTTCTTACAACATTCAAGGCCTCATATAACACTCTTGTAATGAGCAACAGTAGCTCTCCTATTCAGGCACTGGTAGTTTTATAGAACTGGAGTGGAAAAAGGAAAGGCAGAAATACCAGACTGTAGACATTTTAGGGAAAAGAAAATACCAATTAAATTCATCATATTAAGTTGCAAAAACGTCTTCTCAGATTCCTCTTGAGTAATTTTGTTTGCCAAATGCTTGCTATGTGCTAGGTGCTGCTAGGAATACAAAAGGTGAGTAAACACATTGACTTTACCAGCAAAGCTATCAGGAGTTAACAGATTAAAGGTCTTAAAAAATAGAATTAGAAAAGAAACCCCATTAGAACTTTGCTTCCTGTTTTAGAGATAATACGCTAGAAACTTTATATTGTAGCATTTGGCACTTAACTAAATAAGGCAATTAGAAGGGGTATAAAATGGTCTTGCTTTACATGCTAATTCTATACTCATTACTGCATCATACATCAAGTTACTGCAGGAAACCACATTAGCAGCACTATAGGAAAGTTCCAGGGAAGTTATTTAATGTATCTTACAAAACCTGAATTTGGTCAATGCTATTCATTAAGTGAAATCATGTGAGACATTATATTATTATAATTTATATTTTAAAACACAATATTATCTATTACTACCTAAGCATATTCTAGAAAAAGAAAATCATAAAATAGCAAGAAAAATACCCTTTTATTATAATTCAACAACATTATTATTAGCTATAATTTGTAGATCACCTACCATGTGTCTGGCACAATGCTAAATACTTCATATTTATTATCTCGTTTATCCTAATAACAACTTCCTAAAGTAGGTATTATAGCGAGTTTAACAGATGTGAGAAGGAGGCTAAATAGACCAAGGTCATTAGCATGGCAGAAGGACTTGAATTCCTAATCATTATTGTGCTAATTCTGTTTCTATGCTTAGCACTGGACTTTTTTTGATCAATTTCATTTTGTATTGTTTAAAATCAATGTCTACATTAGATGGATGTTATATAACATGTTTAAACTACATAGTATAACAAAATATAAGGCAGGCTTGCAAGTGTTCTTGCAATTTAGAATGTAGTTTAGATAAGGAATATTAGAACTGAGACTGTGAAAGACATGGCTGTCTGGGAAAACTTAGAGCAATTTTACCAGCAAAAGGACAACTCTATACTAGCTAGAAGATGACTAGTAACCACTGTTATTATTTGCTATTTTCGCAATATTCATATCAAATTATTTTATTTTATTTTAATTTTATTTTTGAGATGGAGTCTCGATCTGTTGCCCAGGCTGGAGTGCAGTGGCGGCTCACTGCAACCTCCGCCTCCCGGGTTCAAGCAATTCTGTCTCAGCCTCCTGAGCAGCTGGGACTACAGGCTCACGCCACCACGCCCGGCTACTTTTTGTATTTTTAGTAGAGATGGGGTTTCATCATATTGGTCAGGCTGGTCTTTAACTCCTGACCTTAGGTAATCCACCTACTTCGGCCTCCCAAAGTTCTGGGATTGCAGGCGTGAGCCACTGCACCCAGCCCCCGAGGTATTTTAAATTATATTTATCTTTATTTCTAAAAATAGAAGAAAAATTTGTACCTAAAATTAAAGAATAGTAAATGATATGCCTTAAAAAAGCTACAGAGAACATGAAATGGAAATAAATGTTTAACTGACTTTCTGGATTCTGTTATAAACTACCCAAGGTGACAAAGGATTAATGACTGAATAACAGACAAGGGTAGCCATGACTTAATCTTTTAAAACTGAAGAGTGTCATATGCTGAATTTTATGGTATTGTGTGTTTTTTTTCTCAGGTAGTTTATATTAATTTCAAATATGAATATAATACATCATATTCTCAGGCTGAAATGCAAAGTTTTTGTATTCTGTTCTATACTATCTATCTGCACATACACGCACACACACATACATATATATATACACACACACATACACGCTGGTTTACCTAAATATAAGCTTTAAAGGGGAAAAAGATCAGAGCAGAGCATATTTAGCACAAAATAAAGCAACATTTTAATGTGGGGATTCAAAAAATAATAATCCCACATTAAGACATTAACCAATAATAAGATAGCATTCTTTCATTATGTCTGAATAGATTTCTTTCATTATATCTGAATTTATCAGATACTTTTAAGATTAATACATGAAGTTTTAGCTACTATTGTTATTATTATTATTTTTTGAGATAGAGTCTCACTTTGTTGCCCAGGCTGGAGTGCAGTGGCATGATCTTGGCTCACTGCCACCTCCACCTCCCGGGTTCAAGCTATTCTCCTGCCTCAGCCTCCCGAGTAGCTGGGATTACAGGCACCTGCCACTACACCCCGCTAATTTTTTGTATTTTTAGTAGAGATGGGGTTTCACCATGTTGGCCTGGCTGGTCTCGAACTCCTGACCTCATGATTCGCCTGCCTTGGCCTCCCAAAGTGCTAAGATTACAGGCGTGAGCCACCACGCCTGGCCAGCTATTGTTTTTTTAAAAAAGAAATGCAGAAAGTGTTCTAAGTGCAAACAGTGGTAAAAAGCTAAGGGACAGAAAAAACTCTTATGTCAGTCTGGAAGCACACTTAGGCATTATTGAGCTACTTAAAGTATTTTTATTTGCTTTTCTAAGTAAGTGGGGTACTGTTCAATTATTCTTCCAAGTATACTGGAACAAATGAATAAAAATATCTTTAGTTTAAAAAGTCAGAAAATTCATTTGATGCAGGAAAGAACTCAAGGCTGATAAGGTTAAAAAAAGCTTTACAAAAAGAAATTTATACTTTTTGGGTATATACGTATATACAAGGAATAAGAGTATAAAATATAAAATCAAGATAAATTAAGGAAGCAACAGATAGATATACATCTTAAGATGGCAACAATGATGTGAAAGTTACAATTTAAATACAGTTTAAACAATTCAGGCTTATTATCAATAGCATGGAAAATAGTAATGAAAGTTTATTTTGATAAACAGTTGTGTACATGTTTAAATATTTATTGATATAAATAATATTTCAATTAAAATGTCTAAAGAATAAAGTATGGGTTTTTGTTTTGTTTTGTTTTGTTTTGTTTTGTTTTGTTTTGAAACGAAGTCTCACTCTGTCGCCAGGGCTGGAGGGCAATGATGCAATCTCAGCTCACTGCAGCCTCTGACTCCTCGGTGCAAGTGATTCTTCTGCCTTAGCCTCCCAAGTAGCTGGGACTACAGGTGCGCACCACTACGCCCAGCTAATTTTTTGTATTTTTAGTAGAGATGGGGTTTCACCATGTTGGCCAGGCTGGTCTTGAACTCCTGACCTCGTGATTTGCCTGCCTCGGCCTCCCAAAGTGCTGGGATTACAGGCATGGGCCACTGCACCCAGCCAGTATGTTTTTATTTTATTGTTTTATTTGAATATTAGTATAATTCAGTATTATAAGTTCTGCAACTCTGTGCCAATGTAGGATGACATGTGCATTGTACTGGGGGAACAAGGGAGGCTTTGTTTTTTATAAAATATCATACATTTATTCTGATATTAAGTTGTGAGAACTGTAAGTATACGCCTCACTAAATATAGTATGTTTAGTATCTTAGTACTTGACAGATTTCTGTTGAGCTAGAAATTTTGCACTCTTATGATGGTTCCCTAACAAGACACAACTGTTGAACAATCATAGGTAACTTTGAAAGAGTAACATTCAGAAACAGAATTTAAATTAGTATTTAAAATTATTATTCCATATACACATTCTCCAACTCAGGAAGAATTTCTTTTATATATATATATATATATATATTTTATTATACTTTAAGTTCTAGGGTACATTTACACAACGTGCAGGTTTGTTACATATGTATACATGTGCCATGTTCGTGTGCTGTACCCATTAACTTGTCATTTACATTAGGTATATCTCCTAATGCTATCCCTCCCCGCTCCCCCAACCCCACAACAGGCCCCAGTGTGTGATGTTCCCCTTCTTGTGTCCAAGTGTTCTCATTGTTCAATTCCCACCTATGAGTGATTGTTCAATTCCCATCTATGAGTGAGAACATGCAGTGTTTGGTTTTTTGTCCTTGTGATAGTTTGCTGAGAATGATGGTTTCCAGCTTCATCCATGTCCCTACAAAGGACGTGAACTCATCATTTTTTATGGCTGCATAGTATTCCATAGTGTACATATGCCACATTTTCTTAATCCAGTCTATCACTGTTGGACATTTGGGTTGGTTCCAAGTCTTTGCTATTGTGAGTAATGCCGTAATAAACATACGTGCAACACAGGAAGAATTTCTTGTTCATACGAGTACAGAGAATTGAAGGAGAAAAACTTTTTAAACTTGAAAAACTAATGTAATAGAATAAAATTCCAATTTTAACCCAATATTAAAATTATATTTATATACAGCAAAGACTAAGATTTTCAAATAGCTTGAGAAAGCAAATAGTTGCAAGTAAATAAAGGTCATGTGAACTTCATCCCAATAAGGCCTGGAAAACTCCTACAATCCCTTTACATGTCAAACTCTCATGGTGGGGAAAAACACAACAAAAATCACCAGCCTTCATTAAGCCATTCATGCCTTCAACAATCACTAAGTGTCTGTTACATGATTCAAACGCCAACTACTACACTCAAGAATTTCATAGCCTGGGACAGTGTTTCTGCTAATGTATTTGGTTTTGTGCTTACCATCACTGACACTGAGCATGCTGCCCTTGTGTTCCTGATAACAGAAAAGAAGCAATGACCCCTAACAGCCTATTATGCGTTAAAATTAGTAAGTCAAAATTCATGATCTTAAAAGCATAATTTCCTCCTAATTTCTTACATTTTCCCACATTAAAACTTAAAGGTCCTAAAGCTTATTGACAGTGTTAGTCCTGTTACTACAAGCTTCTAATTACTTAAATCCTTATATTCACAGAATTTTGAGACAGATGATTTGAAATCATTTTGTTTAATCTTCCTGAATGACACTCGGGGATCCATGAGAGGTTAAGTGTCACACAACAAAGTTCATGGAAAAGTCAAGACTAAAACCCAGAAGTGCTGATGCTTAGTCAAATGTTCTTTTCACAATGACATGTTGTTGCCTCTAATCAAAAAAGTATTTATAATAAATAAGACATGAATCAAATAAGTTAGGAGGCAATATAGTACCTTATATTTAAATTCTCAAAAGAATTGTTCTCGTATTTATTCTCTGCTGGCTACTAGTCTCTCTTTGGCTTTAAAAAATACATTTTTTGTTTTTGTTCTTCTTGAGTTGAAATTTAAATTAATGATACTGTATTAGGTATCTATAGCTGTGTAACAAATTACTACAAGGTTGGAGGCTTAAAGAAACACACATTCTCTCAGTTTCCATGGCTCAGGAGTCCAGGCACTGGAACCAGTCCCCGGTCTCACAAGGCAGAAACCAAGCTGTCAACTTGGCTGTATTCCTACAGGGAGGTGTAAGTAGGGAAGAATCTGCTTTCAAGTTCATTCAGGTTGTCAGCAGAATCCACTTCCTTGTGGCTGTATGACTGAGGTCCCCACTTTCCTGTTGGCTGTCATCTGGAGATTGTTCTCAACTCCCAGAGGCTGTCCTCAGGTCCTCACTGCGTGACTCCCTACACAGGCCCTCTCACAACATGGCAGCTGATTTCTTCAAGGCCAGCAAGAGAATATCTGCCTCCTTTGAATCTTGTTTTAAAGGGCTCACATGATAAGGTCAGGCCCACCAAGATAATCTCTCTTTTAATTATATTAAAGTCAACTGACAAGAGACCTTAAATACATCCTTGAAATTCCTTCACCTTTGCCATAGATCAAAACCTAATCATGAGAGTGAAATTCATTGTATTCCCTGGTCTCAACCACACTGAAGAAGAGGGCAGTTATATACCAGGGGACAGGGGTCCTGGGGGTCATCTTAGAATCCTGTCTACCATGAATGCCAAAGGAAAATTATCAATAGAAAGACAAAAGAAAGTCACTGAAATTAAATGTCTATAATTTATGACCTTAGAATTAGATTTCGAGGTCATCTACAGAGTCAGCTATAGTATAGTGATTAAAAGCCTCAGACTGAATAGTAACTTCACCACTTACTAGCTCCATGATCTGGGGAAAGTTGTTTAATCCTTTTGTGTGCCTCAGTTTCCTTATGTATACAATTGGGACAAAAATAATACCGATCTCACTGTATAGTGAGGAGGACTAAATGAAACAATAACTGATATTTATTGAAAGCTTACTATATTCTAAGTATTCTTCTAAGTCATTTACATGTATTAACAAATTTAACCCCCACAACCTCCCTAAGAAGGAAATACTGCTATTATCTCTATTGTACAGATGTAGGAATGGAGGCACAAAGATGTTAAAAACTTGCTCAAGGTCACTCAACTTTTAAATGGCAGAGCCAAGTTACAATCATGCAGTTTTGCTTCAGTTCCTGCGTGCTTAACCACTGTGCTTTGAACATTGTTTGGCAAGTAAATATCAAATATTTTAATGCCTAGTGAGCCCAACATTGAGATAATAATACAGCCTAAAAATTACACTTTAAGATAATAATCATCTAAGAATGATAAGGTCAATGCCAAAACAGTGAGAAAATGTCAGTCCCAAATGTACACCTTTGATGAGTAAGAAGTTCACCCATGACACTTCGAGCCTACTTTCAGCTACTTACCTGAAACAATCTGGTATGAATTAAGAGTTGGGACAAGAGGCTCCACCACTACTCTCACTTCTGATAGGGAAATAGAGTAAGCTGGAAACCAGAATTGGATCTGGGAAAATCTCAATTCTATTTATCTGCTGTTTCATAGGCAGGAAACAGAGACAAGCAGGCTTGTGGCAGGTTCCGAAGAAGATGAGAGATCACTCATTAGAGGACACATGACTTTCAGGCTCAAGAAAAAGAACAGACTGGACATATTGATAGCTCAACTAAGATGTAGGTTATTAGAAAAATGTTTTGATTTTAGCTTGGATTTTATATTCAAATAGCAAGAGTGAAGCAGTTCATTATAATTAGATAAGCTTCTGGAAATTTAAGGCACTATATATATACACTTTATGGATAAATAGGGACCAAACGGCAGAGACCTGGGAGCGATGTCTTCACTTATAGTCAAGAAATGTGAAGTAGCTATATGTAGTTTTATGGAGGTAAGAGCTAACCACACTGTGTCAGTTATGAGTTTTGTGGCTCTCAGCTCAATTCATCCTTCAGTGCTTGCTCTGTGACAATGGATTGGACTCTAAGCATTTATCTTGTACAGTAAGCACAATGTTAAGTTTTTGTCAATAGAGGGCAGTGGAGGGACACTGCAAGGAGAAGAAGGCTTCTAGGTTCCCATGGGCATTCTTTTATTTTTTTCTTGTTCCTGTTGCAGGGTCCACTAGCAGTGCATGTGTGTGGGGATATCGGTAGTGCTGTGCCCCAGCCACATGTCCAGATCATGCAGTCCCACAGTGACATTGCAGCCTCAGCCTGGGCTCAGTGATCACCATCCTGAGGCTATCTCAGCATGCTCTCCAGACCTCTTACTCACAGCATCATCCTAACTCTTGCTGTGAACCTTCCCAGCAGCATCATTTGCCTACATCCTCGAAGGTTGTCTTCCACTTGCCTGGCAACTGTGGATAAGCTCTGATCTATGCAACCCAATGAAGCTGCAGCCACACCTTCTCAGCCTTGGGAAGGGTGTTCCACTTAAAAGATATCCTTCCTTGGGTACTATTCCTCAGTTGTAGGACATGGTTTAGGGCGCTCTTTACCTGTTTGCAGGTATTTCTTATCATAATTTATAATTATTTATATCAAACTTCCTTTAAGTTACTGTGTGGCTTCTGTTTCCAGACTGATTCAATTACCTTGTGGAAGAAATCTTTACATTGACAGTGACTATAATTGCACTTTAAAAAAATATATAGCATTGATCCAGCTATCTCACTACTGGGTATCTACCCAAAGGAAAACAAATATTATATCAAAATTCACAATAGCAAAGATAAGGAACTAAATAAGTTAAGTGTCCATCAACAGACTGGATTAAAATGTGATATATATGTGTGTACATATATGTCTCTGTGTGTGTGTGTGTATACACACACCATGGAATACTACTGAGCCATAAGAAGTATAAAATCATGTCTTCTGCAGCAACATGGATGGAACTGGAGGCCATTATCTTAAGTGAAATAACTCAGAAACAGAAAGTCAAATACCACATGTTCTCACGTATAAGTGAGAGCTTAAAAAAAGTGTATACATGTGGACATAGAATGTGAAATGATAAACACTGGGGACTTAGAAGAGTGGAACGGTAGGAGGGGGTAAGGGGTAAGAAATGACTTAATGGTTACAATGTACGCCATTCAGGTGATGGCTACACTAAAAGCCCAGACTTCACCACTATGCAATATGCCCATGTATCAAAACTGAATATGTGCCTGCTAACTTTATTTTTAAAAATATATAGTGTCCTTGGTCATATATACAGTGGTCTCAAATAAAGACAGTTCTTCAATTTATCGCTTTATGTGGCCATACTGCTTTCTAATGATCTTGTGAATTTGTCATCTAAGAATTATGGCATTTAGACCTTAAAAGTCACAGATACTCCAAGCCCTCAACTTAGTCAGAAAGGCTAACTTAGCTTCTTTACAGCTAGTAAATGCCAGAATGGGGTCAGGACACCTATCCTTTTAACTCTCAGATTGCTGCTCTTTCTACTGTATTATTCTACCTCACTTGACTCCCCAACAAAAATGAATACTACTGTGAGGACAAGAATTGTACTTTCAGAGTCAGTATGAATATGGAAGCATCTTGCAATGCATAATGTGTTCAGCAAATGTAATGTTAGCAAAAACACCTATATAAATAAATATACTGCCTTATAAAATGTCTACCTAAATCATAATCAGAAACACTAAAACCAGATTATTTTAATTCTTCACATAGGCCACACACATTTTCTTTTTGTCCCAGGAAAGACAAACATTTTCCACCTCTATCATGTTATATCTGGATTTCTCATTTTTCCTTTCCTGCATGAGGCATCAGTTGTGGAGAATTTATAGTTAAAATAATTTACAATGCAATTAACCACCAAAGTGTCAAAATCTGAAAATAATATAATATGACACCAAAGAATCCAACGCCTATTTCAGCAATATTGTTAGCACATTTCTTCAGGCTGACCACAAAGATAATAAAGGGGGCTGAGACAGAAGGGTGACCTTAACTTCGAAAACATAAAGAAGCATCTTACGTTTTTCATCTATAAAACTCAGTATTAGAGTTGATGTTTTAGTGAGACTGACCATAATTTATATGTTCAAATGCTACAGTTACCAACAAAATCTCAACCATACTGAAAAAAAATTCAGTTTGCATTTGGATCAAGATCATAGCTTTTAGAAGAGTCTGGGCTACAACTGGCAAAAGCTGCTTCATCACAGCATCAGAAACCTCCTGAAGACGAGTTAAAATTATCTTCAGGGATTTTTAAGTCACTAGAGTACCATTGTTTTCAAGAAATCTCTAAAGATAAGCTATTAACATTAATATGATCACTTTTATTTCACTTTGGGGTATGCTGCTACACCAGTACTTAAACACATCCTCAAGGTTTTGATCCATCAGAAGAGGAAAGCTATACTTTCATAAATGATATGATGTAGATGTCAGGGAAAAGACTAAAATGAGCCCTTTACTTTCTCCTCCAGGATCCTCTCTTACATCTAACTGTTGGCTCTATGCAGTTTAAGCTATTTCTAGTCTGGATACCAGAGAAGACATAATAATCTCACTCCAGATGGAGTTTAAGGGCAAGGAATTCATAAATTTAAAGAAAGGAAAAAATTACAAAGAATGTTTATGAAATAAAACAAATACTTAACATGCCAAAATAAGCCTAATTCATGATCAAACCTAAGTAACAAAAGAAAAAAATAGCTTGGAGAAAAAAAAAGAGAAAAAAGAGAAGAAAGCATTCCTGAGAATGTTCTGTAAACTGTAAAGTACTATATAACTAGAAGATAATATTAACACTAAAATAATAAAATAGGCATTTGCAGTATTTATTATCTTTACAAAAGCAATGGGGTAAAATGCTAAAATACAAAGTGCCATATACAAGGCCATACCTTTGGCTAATGTAAAAGGTGTTTGTGAGCTCAGAACAATCTGATTTAAACAATGTGACCTTAATGATTACGCCTGGCCTGGGATTTCCATGAGTTTAATCAAAGCCGACAAGTGTTCCAGGCTCACCAATGAGAATGGCAGGGCAGGGACAAGCAGAGGAAGTCTGCTAAAGCACAAGCTCTGAAATGACTTCTCAGGAGAGCTTATCACTCCAGACTCAATGGGTGTACTGAAAGGCAGGAGTGAGGAGTAAGTAGAGTATAGAACTGAAAATTCCAGATTCTCTGTAACTCATTTGTTATATAAAACAAGGATCTGCACAGAGCAAAACAGATGGGCTCTAACCTGCCAGAGAATGTGTAATCCAGAACAAAAACTAACTGGAAGGAAAAGATCAGATCAATAGAAGTGAAACATAATATTATTTATCTTTAGTCGATAATCACTGAGATATATACTATATTGATTATCTGTATTGCCTTTTGTCCTTTATGGTTGTATTCTATTGTCTGTTCCATTATACTTAATGGCAAATTCAAAGGAAACCCAAGATGTTCAGTCTCCTTTTATTCATTCTCACACTTCATATTAACAGACATCCCTGCCCAACACTGCAACCAATCTCCCTTCCCACCAGGGATTTTGGTCCTCACAGCCTACTTCTTTCTGATTTTAAGCAGAAAGACTCTCTCCAATTTTAGAGGTGAGAAAAGTGAACAGAAAATGTAGCCTGAGGATTGTCCAAGTCCCTTCTGACTAGTTCAATATATGTACTATAAAATCATCCATTATAAGCAATCAGAATTCTAACTATACTATAATAAATACATACTTTTATACTTTTTCATTATGAAAGAAATGCAAATTAATTGAAAAAAATTGGGAAGATACATGCTTTCTCCATGGTTTATTTTCTGCTTCCATGTTAGTTTAATGTACTATTTTCTTAGTTCACTTTGCTCTCAGTTTATAGTGACCTTACCTTCTTTATAGTATGGTATTCTTTTTTAATACAGGTAATATCTTTTGGCTCAACTGAAAACATTAAACAAGTGTTCATAATAAACCTACTTCATGTGGAAGGATTTTCTTCTAATATATTAGAGGATACTTCCTCTCCTCTTACCCATTCTTTTTCTTTACCCATCCTTAAATACAGATCTATTTCAGGGAAAGATACACCACCTCACAACCTCAGCTCTCTCAGTTTGCCCATGTGTTGAAGGGCACTCTGACACTCGTACAGGTTGAGTATCTCTAATCCGAAAATCAGAAACTTTTTGAGCACTGACATGATGCTCAAAGGAAACACTCATTGGAGCATTTTGGTTTAGTATTTTCAGATTAGTGACAACTGTTAAGTATATCATGCAAATATTCCCAAATCCAAAAAAATCCGAAATCCGAGACACTTCTAATCTCAAGCATTTCAGATAAGGGACAATCAACCTGTATTGCCTTGTGGAATTCCTAGGCTATAACAAGTTTTCATAAGTGATAAGTTCTCCTTCCTCTTGAAAACTGCCTTCCCTATCCTCTGGACAAAATAAAGATTTAGGGGTAGGGTTTAGGCTAAGACAGTTGATGTTCTAGCGCCTATCTCAAGCTACTATAATCTCTATTCAGTCATCTGGGGTCTCCTTGTTCCTTCTAAATGGCAGCCATCACTGGGGATGTTCTAAAAACCTATTTAACTCACAGTCCAGTGTACTAAAGTGAAAAGGTTCCTAAGAACTATTAATATATTACATAGGATTCTAAATCTGCCTGGCATTAGAAAGATTTCAGCCATGTTCTTTAGGTTAGTCAATGGTTGGCTACTGGCACTGTTTTCACTCCTTACCCATTTGAAACTCTTACTCATTTGTTAAAAATACTTATTTTTTAGAAAAAATTTGAGTACATAGTAGGTATACATTAGGTATTTATGGAGTACATTAGATATTTGGATACAGGCATACAATGTGAATAATTACATCAGGGTAAATGGGGGTATCCATCACTTCAAGCATTTATCATTTCTTTGTGTTATGAACATTCCAGTAATACTCCGTCAGTTACTCTAAAATGTACAACAAATTATTGCTGACTGTAGTCACTCTGTTGTGCTATCAAGTAGTAGATCTAATTCATTGTATCTAACAATAAAATACTCATTTTTAATCTAGATTTTGGGTTGCTATTCAGGCATTTCTATGGATATTTTAGTACTACTTTTTTCTGATTAACACATATTTGTTATGCTATATTTAACCATTATACAAACACATAATTTAAAGTTAATGCCTCTAAAATTTATCCTATTCCTTGCAAAGACAACCAACATTAAGTCTGTTGCATAGTTCTTGAAATTATTTTCTTCACTATAAATACACTGCTTTTTTACACAAAAGTTATGTTATGTCTACTGTTTGAAGCTTGCTTTTGTGAGTTATGCAAATCTTGATTTCAGTCACTATCAGGATACTTTATGTGATCCAAAATACTTTAAAATTTGGATTGCCACTTAGAGGCGTTTCATTATACCAGACACCCCTTAAGCCCCATCTCATACCCACTCAGCCCACTTTTTTCTCCAGCTACTGCTGTGGCAATCTGCTTCACTTCAGTTGCACTACCTTTGCTTTCTGTCCTAGAGCTCTCTGGTACCTCCAAAAACCTGGTAGTGTGAGAGAGTTAACACCCCAAGGAGCAAGCTTTGACCAATGGGATAATTGGATTAGAGCCAGCAGATACATTCTCCCTCTTCAGTTTTTGTCAGGCAGGTTGGACAATTCCAAGGCAAATTCTGCAGGGCTTCTCAGAAGGTCCCGATGGGATCGAACTTCAGTTCCCTATAGTGGTGAACAATTCTAGAACCCATATTGATTCTCCTTCCCAGTGTCTCTTCTGAGTCTTGGGATAACTAATCAACACAAACTATCTGCATTCGAGCCTTGTTGTAGGCTCTGTTTTCCAGAAAGAACCCAGGCTAAGATGCTCATATACAATACATATTAATTCATCTTTGAAAAGGAGCCATTATAAATCATATTGTACTTAGAATATTCAAGTATCATAGAAACAAGGAAAACATTAAAACTAACTCACAATTGCATCCTAAACAAGCTATATAAAAACTCTGGCTTTTGATTTACTGGTCCATATAAAAAGGAGAGAAAGAAGATATTAAAAACCCTAAATAGGCCAGGCACAGTGGCTCACTCCTGTAATCCCAGCACTTTGGGAGGCCGAGGTGGGTGGATCACGAGGTCAGGAGATTGAGACCATCCTGGCTAACACGGTGAAACCCCGTCTCTACTAAAAAATACAAAAAAAATTAGCCGGGCGTGGTGGTGGGCACCTGTAGTCCCAGCTACTCGGGAGGCTGAGGCAGGGGAATGGCGTGAACCCGGGAGATGGAGCTTGCAGTGAGCCAAGATCGCACTACTGTACTCCAGCCTGGGTGACAGAGCGAGACTCTGTCTCAAAAAAAAAAAAAAAAAAACCAAACCAACAACAACAAAAAACCTAAATAATGAGATATAACCTAAAAAATAAATACTGGAAAGAGAACTACCAGATTATAAAGCTCTGTCTAGAAAACTTACTGATTTATTTTATCCTAGCAACAATCATTCATGAAAGATATTAATATCCCCATTTTACATAATAAGAACAAACTCTCAAAAACATCACTTGATTCAGCTCACCGAGATAGAAAATGGTAGAATTAGGATTCAGACAGTTTTTTAGACTCAAAGTTATTTCTTCTACACTATAGAGATCTAGAAAGATACTTATTCTAGAAATTTTGTTTTAAAGAAACTATTCTAGCCTCATATACTAAGTGGTACTGTATACTATTTTATTATTCTAAAAAATTATTCTTGTGAAAAAAGTAATATACAAGTATACATACAACCTTTTGGTAAAGGCTGGGTAATCTTTGTATAAAAACGTCAGGATGGGAAGTAGAAGAATAACATGAAAAGACAAGTGCTTTCTGAGATGAACTGATTTGGTTAATGCCATTCACTGTTGTCATCATCATCAGACAGGATTTTTAAATTCTCACTAGCTGGAATGCAAAATTGCCAAGGTAAATATACGGCATTCATTTCTAAACTCCTTCAGTACTATTTATGCTGTTACTTATTTCTAATAGCAAGTAGCCCAGAATCTGGCTTTTGAGAAAGATAAAGTCAATATGAGTCAATTATTAGGAATTTATTTAAGAAACTAAAAATTACTTATTATTTTAAAATTATTTAAAATTAAAAATATTTAGTGATTAAGAACTTTTAAAATTTGGCTATTACTTATTATGGTTTTTATTTAATAAAATTTCATTCATCATTTTATAACCCCAAAGAGATTATTTCCTTAGTCTAATTAATTAAAATTATATTTAAAGTCTTTTGTACAAGAGAAATCCCACAGTATTTCTTTCATCATTTAAATCTATTTCTGTTATTCTGTCATATGGTAGAATCTGAAATTTCCTCAGAAATAAAATTTCATATTTTTTACAGTTCTCTAGAGATTCTTTTTCCATAAATTATTTACATTTCCTTTGTTGATATTTGAATATTGATCACAAATGTGCATTTGTAACTGGAACTATTCCTCCATAGAAAAGGCTACATCAACAGATGTAAAAATATATACCATACATAAATTGAGAAAAACAAGGCAAAAAGAAATCATGTAGAGCCAAGAATGAAGCTAAATACAAAACAAATACCATGAGATGCACTTGTCAATTATGGGCCACAAATTTTAATCTTAAGTTCGTAGCAGCCAATGCATGAAGAAAAGTACAGCTCTTTTTGATACTAACATCAGGGAGATTACTCCTGAGAAACTTGATAAAGAAAAAAATGTTAACACACACTGACCTCAATAACAGCCTTGAAGTAAACACAATGAAGAACCCACAGCAGCATACCAAAGTCGAATTCAGTAAATTCAATACTTCAGAAAGAACAGTCATTGTCATAGAAAATTCAATGCTAAAGAAACAGTCACTCACAGAAAATAAAATGTAGGTGGGAAAGGGTCTGTGCATGCTCCTTAGTTATTGACAAAATAGGCACAGCTAGACAGTAGCCCTGGGTTCCACGGGAAAAAAGATAGTACAATTTGTAAAGCCTCAGGGAGCTAGAATTGGTAGCAACTGCCAGATCTGGAAAGGGCATGGGCTTTGGTATTAGATTCTGTGTTCAAACCGAATAGTTGAACAACTTAATATTTGTGACCCTTAGTTCCACCATCTGCAAAAGTAGGATTAAATGAGAGAATATGCTTATAAGAAATTAAGCTAATACTTGAAATATATAGGCCCTAAATAAATATTAGTGTCTTTCTATTCTCCAGGCCCTACAGGTAGATCAACGTGAGGGAGTTGTAATTATTTTCCCTCCTGGACTAATAAGGAGAAAAGTAAATTAATTATCCACTCCTGAGACTATTCTTATAAACCACAAAGGGCATCACTACTGCACAATGAGGGGGAGAGGATTAGCAGAGGATTATTCAGTATCATTTCTATAACAGATAACAAAAAAGGAATAGGGATGCTGTACTGCTGATATTCTGAAGTAATATTTTCCCTCCATACGTTTAGATGTTTTAAAAGTATTTCCTTTTCTAAATACAAAATAGTATTCTTTTATAAATATTCAAACATTTCAGAAACATAAAACTTAATAGACTGATATTAGGAATAAATGAGGCAAATGTCCTTTTACAGACATATGGATCTTCACCGCCTAGTACCTGGCAGATGCAGAAATGACATGATTTCACACACACCAGAGGTGAAGAAGTTATTAGGACAAACTAGCATTGATCAAGAAATGCATTTACAAATAAAAGTGGCCAACTGTTCATTAAGAAGGCAGGAGATGGCCTTTCCACAAAGTATAATGTACGCGTAGCCCATTTCTAGTAATAAAATATATGTAAAGTCATTAACTGATTCAAAAATATTGCCATATTACCATTTGAAAGGTTGTCTCGTAGGTATAGAATTGGAGCAAAGGAAATTTGATTTTTTTAATAAAGTATTTCATCCAAATGATGATAGAGATGAATTACCCATTATAGAACAGAATACCTTTCTCTGATCTTTTTTGTAATAGATGAACAGTAAAAGAAATTCTCATTTCAAATTCTCCTTGCTCTACATTATTAATTTTTTATTATATTCCAACCTTGCTACACATTACAATTTTAAAATATTATACCTTTTTTCTCCTATTAGGTACAATAGAATGGTTATAACTAACGTAACTTGTTATGCTTTGATTGTTTTGTAGATTTCCTATAAAAATACACTTAACTGATGTGGTCAGTAGATTTTTTTTCTTATGGTTCACCTCTTCTAGTTGAACAAGGAAATATCCTCTAATAAAGATTAAAATAAATCCAAGTATACTCACCACGTGAAGAATTTTATTCTCTGTTTCATATACAGTACAATCCTGAAAAAAAAGAACCATATACATTAGATTCAAAATATCAAGCATTCTTTTAAAAATATTTTCTTAGAAATTATACTATAATTTTAAAAGTCTTAACAATTCAAGTAAAAGCAATAATAACAGGAAAAATCTAGGATGCTACATACCAAAATATTAATAATGGTTAGCTCTGATGGTCAGTAACAGAGGCTATCCTTATTTTTGCTTAACTGTATATTCTAACTTTACTTCTTTTAAACACATACTAAAGGACAATATACATTAAGTAGACTTTTAAAAACAAATATTGAAAAAATATTGTAACCATTTTCTATCTAAGCTTTTACACGTGATAAATGTATTCTGTTGAAATGTCCCTAACATTTCAAATACTAATTTATTATAGATTAGAACATTAAAAAACACACTAACATTTATTTCAATAGTCCTATCAAAATCTCAAATACTTTTATATTTTCAACTATTGCAAGCTATTAAATATACTTTACAGTACACACTTAAAATTAATACATCTACTAATAATAATTACCAAGTTCATAGTTCTCACCTAAATTTAAGTCCCAGAAATTACAAAAAATTCTTTCAAAAACCACCATGGTCTTTTCTTTTAACCTGCAATTACTTGATATACAATAAGCAGTAATACAACAAACTGATCTTTGCTTAGAGACAATGTTTCTATGGCGCAGTTTCCTCACAAAATTTATAAAACGGGCATACTGGTAGCAACCCAATAAAAATGCTGTGAGAATTAAGTGACAAAATGAGATAAGTCATTAGAATCTGACATACATTAAGTGATAAATACATTTTAACCATGTATTAATGTCACTATTTTATTTATTTACTTTTTTTGAGACAGTTTTGCTCTTGTTGCCCAGGCTGGAGTGCAGTGGTGTGATCTCGGCTCACTGCAACCTCCACCCCCTGGGTTCAAGTGATTCTCCTGCCTCAGCCTCCCTAGTAGCTGGGATTACAGGCATGTGCCACCATGCCCGGCTAATTTTTCATATTTTTAGTAGAGATGGGGTTTCTCCATGTTGGTCAGGCTGGTCTCAAACTCCCAACCTCAGATGATCTGCCCGCCTCGGCAGATCAAAGTGCTGGGATTACAGGCGTGAGCCACTGCGCCTGGCCATTGCTATTTTAACTTTAAAAAACTAACTTTACTTCAAAAAATAAAATTAATTATTATTTGGATAATTTTGAAAAAAAAAACAAACCCATTTCCACAGTACTGAATATTTTAAGAAATGATACTCCATTTCATTTTTTCCTGAATTTAATTTTAACAAAAAAGGAATGTTGTTCAACACAATTTTTGATAATGCAACTTCACCACAATGCCTTGTCAGAAGAAATACATATGCAGATCGGGGCAAAGTTTTAAAAATAAAACTTAAGTATATTTTACAAAATTCACAGAAATACTTAAGAATTGGGTCTTGTCTTTCTGAGGGACTCATATGCCAAAGGAGAGATAATCTGGGAAAAGTTGGGAACTTGCCCAGCTTCCACATGCTGCTTCTACAGCTTGCTTCAGCTGCAATGTATGCAAATTCCATTATTTGCCTACCTTCCCAGAATCAGAGGGTATGACTAAAAATTCAAACTTCAAAGGGATTCTCCTCAAGGAAAAAAGTAAACAAAGTAAACATGATCTGAATGTATACTCTAGTAGTGGATAATAATCATACGGAAAGTAACTATTTCAAGTATCTTTAAAATATAAAAATTTACTAGCACATTCCTAATGTGATCCAACAAAAAGAACTGTTAAAATAATCTTAAACTGTTTTCAGTAATCATATGATGTTAGATGGTAGTGTTGTGATTATTATTGTCATGCAGAATCTGCTGTGTGTGCTTTATAAGATGAATAACTGAACAATTATGTGACTGCCATTCTATCACTCCAGTGTCATTGATAAGTATTTTTAGCATGGGATAAAGCAGACACATATATAAGATTGAAGAAGTTAAATAATATGCTGGAGTCTCTTGAAGTATTATCTATGTACATATGTATATACATGTATGCATGTATTTATTAGCACTGCACCCTGAAAAGGCATAGGAACAATGACCAACCTAGTAATGATACACTTCCCAGACTTTATGGTCTTAAAACCACATTTCCAAGCCTTCTTGGAAAATGGCTGATTTGAGATCTGGAATAGGAAACGTACAAGATGAGCTTGGATTATACTGTGATACAAGACAGAAGGAAGTTATCAAAGACTACTAGGAGTAATCTGTCAAGACTACCACTACACAGGAGTTGGCTCCTGTTTTAGTAGGACTCAGGACTCAACATGAAGAGATTCCCCCTAGTCAAACATGGAACAATTTGAGCATCTAAAAGGATAATAACTGCAATGGATGGAAACACAACAAATACTATTAAATATATGTTTGATGCTATATTAATATTACATTTTAAATGTGCTACCTATATCTAAATATAGTTAGTAATATTTAAATAATATTGAATATACTAAATTAATTAGACAATATAAAATAGACATATTTTTCCCCTTGATTCAGCAAATATTAATCAACTGTACTAGAGACAAAAGGATGAATAAAACATGGCCCCTGACTTAGAGAAGTGCTGTTTAGGGAGATAGGAATTCACACAAATAAGTTAAAACACAGAATTTCAAAGTATTCATGCTGTTTTAAGTATTTTTAACTTTAGAAGTATAAATGATACACCATTACACAAATCAATAGATAAAAGGCCAATTATTTAAAATTTTAAGATATTAATATATTTTTATTAACATTCAACAGGAAATAAAATTCAACATATAGTATACTGGGTTGTACTATACATTGCTCTAGTCAAATTTCAAACTTTTCAAAAACTTCTACCAGCTGTGGGTTAGTGACAGAAAGGATGACATCTGTGATCCTAGATTTAAGATTATTTGAAGAATAAAATATTGGTGCACACTCAACTATTTTGACATGACCCTGCAAAAGAAAGTTTAAGGGAGATATATGAGGTGATTGAGGTGGTCAAGTTTTTCTACCAGTCCAAAAAAATGCCACATATAAATATTAAAATTAAGAACTTACTATTTAAAATAAACAAAACTAAATGATTGTAAAATAAATTTAAATAAATTTTAAATAATGTTTTTGGTAAGGTTGTAGCACTTACGTATGTAAAGTTATTAAAGTTTAAATCTGCATTAAGAGATTTGGGATACTCTTGATTAGTGTAACAAAGGCACAATTATGGGAGCTAGAGGAGCAGAGGAGGAAGAAACTAAACTCTGTGTTAAAACAAATCAAGAAAGGTGGCTTTTAACTGGGTCTTGGAAACAGTGGGTCTTTAGAAAGAGAAAATAATGGCATCATCACAAAAGCAATGTAACCACACTCAGTTAAGCTACTATAGTAATTTTCAGATTTTACTTCTGCATATATAAGAATCATTTGAGGGGTGGGTTAAAATGCAGATTCCCAGAAGTACGGATCTAGTTGATTCAGAGTGAGGCCTCCAAGATGATATTTATAAAGATGGTATTTCGAGAAACACTTGATCTATTTTATAGGATTACCATGTGATACAGGAACACCAAAGCTATCCCAAAATTATCAAATATATAGAATCCATAAACTGGTAACCTGCTTTTTATAACATTATCTGCCAGCTCACTCCAAATAGTTCTGAGATCCTCAGAATTGTATTTTGATTGCACGTTCCCCCAATTCATTATTTTTTCCCATTAAACTTATTTCTTTCTTTATGTGGAACAGTTGCTTCTACTTGTTTGTATCTCTACCTTCTTTCAGCAAGATCGGCTTGCTAGTTATTGAAACCCAGAGGCTTTCCACAAAGGGTGAGGATGCAGCATATTAAAAATAGAAGCCAGGCACAGTGGTTCATGCCTATAATCCTAGCACTTTGGGAGGCCTAGGTGGGCGGATCGCTTGAGGACAGGAGTTCAAGACCAGCCTGGCCAACATGGTGAAACCCCGTCTCTACTAAAAATACAAAAATTAGCTGGGTGTGGTGGCACATGCCTGTAATCCCAGCTACTCGGAAGGCTGAGGTAGGAGAATCGCTTGAATCTGGGAGGTAGAGGTTGCAGTGAGCCAAGATTGCACCACTGCACTCCAGCCTGGGTGACAGAGTGAGACTCTGCCTCAAAACAAAAAAAAGAACAACAAAACCAAACAGAGAGAATGCATATTAACCTGCTACTTTATATTAGGGAGAAGAATAGAAACTAAATGACTATGTTATATTTTGTTAAGCTGTAATTTTATGGCATTCATTTCATCATGTTAAGTATTTAAATAGCTCTAGGTACTTTGGGGGGGTTTATTTATTACTAAGTTATTTTACTTCCATCAACAGGTGATTTTAAAATACTTGCTTCTAAAGTATGGGTTTTATTAATACTTGGGGCCAAATCCTTTCCCAAAAGATATCTCAAGTTTTAAAGAGAAAATAGCATTGCATATGGATAAATCTATACTTTACAAACCTATTCATGCTGTGGAAAGGTACACCTCTGACATTCCAGTTATTTTTAGGTTAGAATTAAATTTAGTTTTTAAAGACTGGGTTTCCAGTCACGATACTATATACTACCAGGAATTCTCTTCAGTAGCTCAAGCTTTTATTGTATATGCAAAAAAAATTCATTTCTTCTTTTTCCTTTTCCATATAATGCTTCTACAAATTATGTGATGCATTTACATGAGCCAAATTCCTAATGAGAAAATATTCATAAAAATGAGGCGTGTTTCTTGAATTTTGATCACTAAGTATGCACAGAAACATCCTCCCACAGATGAGCTATACACCCACACAGGATCATAATGTTATCCTTTCTGTGAAACAATGATGCAATTGCTATACTGAGCAGAATAACAGAACAATTTTTACTCCTACATATTACCACTGATGCTCCATACTTTGTCAACAAGTTTTAAGCGCCTGGTGGGTCACAATGCTCAGAACAAGTAATATTTCTCATCAATTGTATATTATAATCATAAGAACAGTGCATATGTTATTAATAGTAAATATATAAAGAGAGATAGTGAAGGGAAATAGTGTATATCTCTAATAATAATACTATTATATTTCATGGAACTTTATAAATGCCATAAATTTCCATATGTCTTATTTTTGTGTATATATTGTATACTTTTACAAATAATATAAAAATATTGTTTTACTTAGAAGTAATATATAAATAATCCATCTATGTAAACCTTTGATAATGGTACCTTCATACTCAACACTTCAACATATTCTATTATTATCAAAATGTCTTTACATGCCTAAGGGGTTAATTTAAGCAATGAATATTATACTTTTCCTTTCCTTTTTTTTCTCCTCCCTCCCTGCCTTCCTCTCTTCCTTGCATTCATTTATTTATTGAAGTCACAATTCAGTTCACCAACATGTTTTTTGTCATCTAAATGCAATTCAGTTCCAGATACTATTATGTAATGAGGGATAAATTACCCTTGGTATTTGGCCATCACAATTTCATTAAGTAGGAGGGGAGAAAACATTCAAATACAAATAGAAGGTAGATAAGATAAATTCTAACAAAAGATCCCATTAAAAAGGAGATAAATTCTGATAATCCTGGATTAACTAAGTGAAGGAAATGATATTTTACCTGGCCCTAAATGGCTTTCAAATCTGGAATTTGAAGGTTTAGGGAGAAAGAACATTTCAAAGTGTGTGAACACACTGAACAAATGCACAGTCAATAAGAAGTAAGCAGACTGATTTGGTTAAAATTTAAGCTATGTGGGGAAAATGCAGTGGGAAAGAAGGCAGAGAAAATAATATGGGGCATATTATGGAGAGCTACCAATGTTAGGTTGAAGAAAATTTTTGTTTTTGTTTTAAAAGAAAAGCAATTTCAATTTTTCTATAACAATTTAATTTCCATTTTGAATCTCTTTCAAAAACTTAACTCAGTCAGTTTATAATTTCTCTTGACTTTCCTTGGGGAAGAGTTGAAGTCAAGGCAGCCTATCTAATATAATAGTTGATGATATACAGCAATGTGAGTTGTGAGTGAGGGTTGAGGGGTCTGTAGAGATGAAATGTTCTTGTCCAGCTAACAACTCCCATAGTCATCTCTTGTTCCATTCTTCATAGCCCCTTAAGAGTAATTTTTGTGCCATATCTCAGTTATGGGAATCTCCGCAAAGTTGTGTATCTTCCTAGACATACTAAAGTGGATGTTTTATCTCTAGAAAGGGTGGAGGAGGGATTGTCCCCCCAGCCGATTTAACAACTATCTCCACAGAAAAAAACATCTCCATAAGAACCAAAAATCAGGTGAGTACTCACAATACCTAGTTTTAACTTCATATCATTGAAAGAGGCACAGAAGAGGTAGGAAAAACAGTCTTCAATTGCCAATGCCCCCTTTCCCCCAAACCTGGGCAGCAGCTGCCTGATGATGAGAGTGTTTCTGTGCACTGGGGAGAAAGAAAGCCAGTAATTCTGAGGCATTAAACTCAGCTCTGACGTTGTTATAGCAGAAAACAAAACTGAACCAAATTCAGCTGATGTTCACCCATGGAGGGAGCATTTAAACGAGTCCTAACCAGAGGGGAATCAATCACCAATCCCAGCCATCTGAACTTGAGTTTCCACAAGCTTCGCCACCATGGGCTACAGCGATGTGGGGCCCCAAATAAACTGCAAAAGCCGTCTAGGCCACAAGGACAGCAACTCTTAGGCAAGTCCTAGTGCTAAGCTGGGCCCAGAGACAGTGGACTAGGGGGGCGGCACACAACTTACTGAGATACCAGCTGGGATGGCTAAGGGAGCACCGGCATCAACCCTCCCCTAACCCCAGGTTGCATAGCTCGTGGCTCCAAAGAAGGCCCCTTCCTTTCACTTGGGGAGAGGAAATGGAAGAGTGGGGAAGACTTTGTTTGCGTCTTGGGATACCAGCTCAGCCACAGCAGGATAGGGTACCAGTCAGAGTCCTCAGGCCCCCTTTCCAGGCCCTAGCTCCTGATAGACATTTCTAGATGCACTCTGGGTCAAAAGGGAACCTGTTGCCTTAAGGGGAAGGACCCAGTCCAGGTAGCATGCATCACCTGCTAACTGAAAAGCTCTTGGGCCCTGAATAACTAGCAGCAGCGATATCCATCCATGGCAATAAATTGGAAAATCATAGATAAATTCCTAGACACACACAACCTGCCAAAATTTAACCATGAAGAAATCTAAAACCTGAGGAGGCCAATAACAAGCAATGAGATCGAAGCCATAATAAAAAGTCTCCCAAAAAGGAAAGCTGGGGACATAATGGCTTCACTGCTGAATTCTACCAAACATTAAAGAACAAATACCAATCCTACTCAATCTATGCCAAAAAATAGAGGGGGCAGGGGAGGGAGCACTCAAACTTATTCTACAAGGCCAATATTACCCTGGTACCAAAACCAGACAAAGACACACCAAAGAAAGAAAACTACAGGCCAATATCTGATGAATACTGATGTAAAAATCCTCAACAAAATACTAGCAAACCAAATTCCACAATATATTAATAAGGTCATTCATCATGACCAAGTGTCATTTATTCCTGGGTTGCAAGGATGGTTCAACATACAAAAATCAGTCAGTGTGATACATCATACCAAAAGAATGATGGGCAAAAATCAAAGGATCATTTCAATTGATGCTGAAAAAGAATTTGATACAATTCAACATCCCTTCATAATAAAAACCCTCAAAAGACTGGGTATAGAGCCGGACTCGGTGGCTCATGCCTGTAATCTCAGCACTTTGGGAGGCCGAGGCGGGCGGATCACAAGGTCAGGAGATCGAGACCATCCTGGCTAACACCAGTGAAACCCCATCTCTACTAAAAAATTAGCCGGGTGTGGTGGCACGCCCCTGTAGTCCCAGCTACTTGGGAGGGTGAGGCAGGAGAATCACTTGAACCCAGGAGGCAGAGGTTGCAGTGAGCTGAGATCACGTCACCGTACTCCAACCTGGGCGACAGAGTGAGAGTCTGTCTCAAAAAAAAAAAAAAAAATACTGGGTATAGAAGAAAGATACCTCAACATAATAAAAGCCATGTATGATAGACTCACAGCTAATATCATAATCGGGAAGAACTGAAAGCCTTTCTTCTATGATCTAGAACACAAGGATGCCCACTTTCACCACTGCTATTCAACATAGTACTGGAAGTCCTAGCCAGAGCAATTAGGCAACAGAAATAAATAAAGTGTATCCAAATTGGGAAGGAAGAAGTCAAATTACCACTGCTTGCAGATGATAATGATCTTAAATTGGGAAAAATCTAAAGACTCCAAGAAAAAACTATTAGAATTGATGATCAAGTTTAGTCAAACATACAGGATATAAAATCAACATACAAAAATCAGTAGCATTTCTACATACCAACGGTGAAAAATTTGAAAAAGAAAACAAAAATAATCCCATTTTCAATAGCCACAAATAAAATTAAATATCTAGAAATTAACATAATCAAAGAAGTGAAAGATCTCTGTAATGGAAACTACAAAACACTGATAAAAGAAATGGAAGAAGCCACCAAAAAATGAAAAGATATTGCTTGTTCTTGGATTAATCAATATTCTGAAAATGTCCACACTACCTAAGCAATCTACAGATTCAATGCAATCCCTATCAAAATACCAATGACATTCTTCACAGAAATAGAAAAAATAGAAAAAAAATCCTAAAATGTATACGGAACCACAAAAGAATAGCCAAAGCTATCCTAAGCAAAAAGAACACAACTGGAGGAATCACAACACCTGACTTGAAATTATACTACTGAGATAGAGTATTTAAAACAGCATGGTACTGGCATAAAAACAGACACAGAGTCCAGTAAAAACAGAGCAGACAACCCAGAAACAAATCCACACACCTACAGTGAACTCATTTTCAACAAAGGTGCCAAGGATATACACTGCAGAAAGTACAGTCTCTCTAATAAATGGTGCTGGGAAAACTGGATATCCATGGGCATTAGAATGAAACTAGACCTGTATCTCCCGCCATATACAAAATTCAAATAAAAATGGATTAAAGACTTAAATCTAAGACCTCAACCTATGAAACTACTGCCAGGAAACATTGTGGAAACTCTCCATGACATTGGTCTTGGGAAAGATTTCTTGAGTATTACCCCACAATCACATGCAACCAAAGCAAAAATGGACAAATGGGATCACATCAAGTTAAAAAGCTTCTGTACAGCAAAGGAAACAATCAACAAAGTGAAGAGACAAGCCACAACATGGGAGAAAATATTTGCAAACTACCCATCTGACAAGCAATTAATAACCAGAATCTGTAAGGAGCTCAAACAATGCTATAGAAAAAAAAATCTAATAATCTGATTAAAAAATGGGCAAAAGATTTGAATAGACAGTTTTCAAAAGAAGACATACAAATGGCCATCAGGCATATGCAAAGGTATTCAACATCATTGATCATCAAAAAAATGTAAAGCAAAACTAAAATGACATAGCATCTCACCCCAGTTAAAATGGCTTATATCCAAAAGACAGACAATAACAAATGCTGGTGAGGATGTGGAGAAAAGGGAACCTTGTACGCTGTTGGTGGGAATGTATATTAGTACAATCACGATGGAGTACAGTTTGGAGGTTCCTTAAAAAACTAAAAATACAGCTGTGACATAATCCAGCAATCCAACTTCTGGGTATATACCCAAGGAAAGGAAATCAGGATATTAAAAAGATATCTGCACTTTCATGTTTTTTGCAGCTCTGTTCACAATAGCCAAGATTTTGAAGCAACCTGTGTCTACCAACAGATAAATGGATAAAGAAAATGTAGTACAATGGAGTACTATTCAGCCATTAAAAATGAGATTCAGTCATTTGCAACAGCATCTATGGATCTAGAGATCATTATGTTAAGTGAAACAGGCCAGGCACCTAAAGACAAGCACTGCAGGTTCTCACTCATTTGCAGGATCTAAAAATCAAAATAATTGAGCCTATGAAGATAGAGAGTAGAAAGATGGTTACCAGAGGCTGGGAAATATAGCAGTGGGGGTGGAGGAGAAGTGGGGATGGGTACAAAAAATATACAGTTAGAAACAATTAATAAGATCTAGTATTTGATAGCACAACAGTGTGACTATAGTCAATAATAATTTAATTGTACACTTAAAAATAACTTAAAAAGTATAATTGGATTATAGCATGAAAGATAAATTCTTGAGGGGATGCATACCTCATTTTCCATGATGTGATTATGAATACATTGCATGCCTGCATCAAACATCTCATGTATTCCATAATATATATGCTTACTACGTATCCACAAAAAATTTGAAATATGCAAATTAATAAACAAGAAATAATGGAGAAGGAAAAGTTAAACATTACTCTAAGTGTTCAAGCCTGAGGAAATGGATGGATGAATGGTATAGTAGAGATGGAGAAAGGAAATCGAGGAGATTAAAACAATTTTATTTTGTGCACATAAAATTAGAAGCGGCTGAAAACAGAACGTGTTACATACAATTGTCTGGCAAGCATTTGATAAAACTGAATTAGAATGGAAACAGAGCCAGATCTTGAAGATACTGACATTGAAGGGATAGTTAAAGCTACAAGAAAACAACAATGATGACTTCACCAGAACAGAGTATGTATGGTGGGAAGACGGCTGAGGATAAAACCTCAGACAATGCTTGTTTAGGAGCCAGAGCAAGAATTAATCCCATGGCCAGGATTAAATGAAGAAAGTGATATTACAGAGACAAGAAAAGAGTTTTGGAAAGGGAGAAGGGAAAAACAGTGTCTAATTTAAGTAAGAGTCAGAGAAAAATGACAGCAAGAAGCTTTAAAAATCAGTTTTAATTTAATAATGGAGATGGAGTAGTTGAAAAAGACAATGTGAGGAGTTTAGATGTACAAGTAAGAGTACTTATATAAACTGGTCTTCTAAGAAATATTTCAAAGTAGGAAAGGAACTATAAGCATAGTTTTTTGAGAAGCAGGGTCAAAGTGATGAAAAAAAGAAGATAGGCAGTTTAGCATTTATCATGATACAGTAATTTACAAAAATCCAGATAAACATATTTATATAACTCAGCTGATGTAAAGATTATAAATGCAAAGAATATATAAGTATGCTCTATATAACATGATTCTTGTCATTTTTGTTGGGAGAGTGTATTAGGAGATGGAAGATCTAGTACTATATACACACCAAGCAGAACGCATCATTGGAGGAGTTGACATGACAAATATGAAGAAAGGAGACTAGCTGACTGAAGTGTGATATTAAAGGGAAAAATAAATGAATCAAGAATATATCTAATACTTTCCATCTTCTTAAAACAGTATAACAAATGTGGCAAATTTATCAACCAGGGGCAAGGAGGCACAAATCTGGTGAAGCTTAAGGATAGCCTGGCTTGGTGGCTCACGCCTGTAATCCCAGCACTCTGGGAGGCCGAGGCGGGTGAATCACTTGAGGTCAGAAGTTCGAGACCAGCTTGGCCAACATGGTGAAACCCTGTCTCTACCAAAAATACAAAAAGTAGCCGGGTGGTGGTAGTGCACACCTGTAATCCCAGCTACTTGGGAGGCTGAGGCAGGAGAATCACTTGAACCCAGGAGGCGGGCATTGCAGTGAGCTGAGATTGTGACACTGCACTCCAGCCTGGTGGACAACAGCAAAATTCCGTCTCAAAAAAAAAAAAAAAAAAAAAGGATGAAGAATATTGTCAGGAGTAGAAAATGTTGACATGAGCTGCTTATTCCTCAGAGGAAAAAGATACTGTGATATAGTATTGGCCACAATGAGCTGAAGAACAACAAAAGCAAAATTTATTTTGTAAAAAGAAAACTAACACAGGAACAGAAAACCAAATACCACATGTTTTTACTTTAAGTGGGAGCTAAATGATGAGAACACATGGACACATAGAGGGGAATAACAGAAACTGGGGCCTATTGGAAGGTGGAGGGTGGGAAGAGGGAGAGAAAAAGAAAAAATAACTAATGGGTACTAGGCTTAATACCCGGGTGACGAAATAATCTATACAACAAACCCCCATGACACATACACTATGTGACAAATGTTAACTTGTACCTCTGATCTTAAAAGTTAAAAAAGAAAGCAAAACTTCAGTTTTTCACTAGTTTTAAGTCATTTTACAGTCTTTTACATTCAAAAAAGTTTCTAACAACTTTTCCATAGGGGAGAGGGACTATTCCATTTTTAGTAATAAGCTAGAACAATCCTCATCCATTTACCACTTATTGTCAGTCTGATTACTTTTACAGATTTCTGCCTTACAGCATCCCAGCTTAACTACTGACAGATGACAACTTCATCAAGATGCATACATATAGCAATGGTCTAGAGTAGCACTGTCCAATAAAACTTTCTGGGATAACAAAAATGTTCTTTGTCTATTCTGTTCAATTTGATAACCATTAGAAACACGTGGTTATTGAGCACTTGAAATGTGGCTCATGCAAATGAGGAATCGAATTTACTTAATTTTAATTGATTTAAATTTACATTTCAATATCCAAATGCAGCTAGTGGTTACTGTGGTGTTAGATGCAGTGCAGGTCTAGAGAAATATACTACAGTCCACCCAACAGTTACAAAACAGGAAGCCATTTAACAAAAATTCCAAACAAATAACAGTAAAGGCCACATCTGGAAGAAAACATGGAGGGATTCAGTTGTACTAACAAGATGTATCCCTTCTTATTCCTTCAGCAAACAGCAGATTCCAGTCTATTATGAAATCTACAATAGCAGCACAGTACAATGAAACCAATTCTCTTTGTAGAGTTGTCAAGAGCATCATAACAATAACAACTCTGTTGAACTGCCTATGAACATCAAGTGATATGGAAATGTTTTGTAAATTACAAAACATGCAAATGTTAGCTGTTATTATCATGATCCACACACAAATTTCAAAAGCAGCTGAATTAAGATGACTCCTAAGTTTCCTTCCAAGTGAACAAGGCCCTGATTCCATAATTCTGTACTTGCAGTGTCTCCATACCCACAACTGTAGTAATTTTCCACCTACCACATACACTGGTATACTTGTATCTGCACACATTTACAGATTATCATTACCTTTGAAATGCGTTATGTGCTTGAATCGCTAAAATACATTAATCAATATCATGATGTATCATACAATGATGTTTAACAAAAAATATCAATGCGTCTTACCTAACTACAAAAGAATAATGAAATGTTCTATTCTTGGCATGGTGTTTATTGATTATTGACTTCTTACCAATAGATTATGCCAAGTTATATGTTATTTTACTTAGTGGTCTAGAGAAAAATATGCACAGACCATCCAAAAGATACAAGGGTAGAAAAATACCGAAATAAAATTCCCAAGGAAAGAAGATGCAAAGAGCTCAAAGGGTAGCAGGAAAGAAAAATCGCAAAAATGTGTATATAGTACAATATAAATTTGTAGTCACAGGCAATAAAAGCAAAAATAAACAAGCAGGACTACATCAACCCAAAAAGTTTCTGCACAGCAAAAGAAAGAATCAACAAAATGAAAAGGCAACCTACAGAATGGGAGAAAATATTTGCAAACCATGTATCCAATAAGGGGTTAATATCCAAAATATGTAAGGAACCCACACAACTCAACAGCAAAAATAGAAACAAATAACCTGATTAAAAACTGGGCAAAGGACCTGACTAGATATTTTCCCAAAAACAACATACAAATGGCCATTAGGTATATGAAAAAATGTTCAAAATTGCTAATTATCAGAAAAATGCAAAGCAAAACCACAATGAGATATCATCTCACTCCTGTTAGAATGGCTATAATCAAAATGTCAAAAGATAAGAAGTAATGGCAAAAACGTAGAGAAGAGAATTCTTGTCTGCTGTTGGTGGAAACGTAAATTGGTACAGTCACTATGGAAAACAGTATGGAGGTTTCTCAAAAAAATTAAAAATAGAACGACTATATTATCCAGCAATCCCACTTCTGAGTATATATCCAAGGGAAATAAAATCACTATATTGAAAAGATGTCTGGTTTCCCATTGCAGCATTACTCACAGTAGCCAAGATATAGAAACAATCTAAGTGTACTACATAAGATGAATGGATACAGAAAATGTGATACACACATACACACACACAATGAAATATTAATCTTCCTTTAAAAAGAAGGATATTCTCCCACTTGCAACAACATGGATGAACCAAGAGGACATCATGCTAAATGAAATAAGCCAGACATAGAAAGACAAATACTGTGTGATCTCATTTATATATGAAATCTAAAAAACGAAGTCAAACTCACAGTAACAGAGAGTAGAATGGTGGTTACAATGGACAGGGTGGGAGGAGATAATGGTCAAAGGGCACAAACTTTCAGTCATAAGATGAATAGTTCTGGAGACCTAATGTACAGCATGGTGACAGTAGTCAATAATAATGTATTGCATGCTTGACATTTGCTAAGAGAGTAGATTTCAAGTGCTCTTACCTCACAGAGACACACACACATACACAGGAAACTATGTGAGGTGATGAATATGTTAATTAGCTTGTTTGTGGTAATTATTTCATAATGTGTACATACATCAAAGCATCATGTTGTATGTCTTAAATATGTACAATTTTAATGTGTCAATCACACCTCAATAGAGCTGGAAAAATATAAATTAGTAGCTGTAAAGAAAGACATGAGTAGAGGGTGTTAAGGAAGGAAAGACTACCACCTAGGTAAGCAGTCTGAGAAAGGCATTTATTTTAAAGAGAAGCATGAGTAGAATCTGGAGGAATAAACAGGAGTTATCCAGATAAAAGCTGAGGAATAGTCAAGACAAGGGGAATAGCATGATTAAAAAGGCATAGGGCTGAGAACCAGATTTATGCAGGGAGCTAAACATAGTTTGTTCTTACTAGAATATGAATTGTAAAGCAAGAAGAAGTGAAATGAGGCTGATGAAATAGGCTGGTACTTGACCATTTTGAAAGAACTTAAAATTTATCTTGTACACTAAGGGGGTACCCCTGAAGGGGTATAAGCAGAAGAGTGTTATGATCAAATATGCCACTGACATCAATCTCTCTGGTGGCAATATGATTTAAGGGGATTAAAAAAGAATGAGGGAGAATTTTGTCAATAAGGTTTTCTACAAAGATTTATTTCTGACTTGCTTTCATTCAATCTGTTACATAAGGTAATCTTCATTACAGAATGGCTTTGGGTATAAAAGTTTCATTTACAATCTCTTGGGTAAAGCAAACATCTTTACATAAAAATGACTTATTGGTTACATACTGAAACCATAGAAAGAAGACTCTGTAGAAGCTTTATGCAAAAATGTCACATAAAATCATTAATATGTTTGTTTAATAATAAAATAAAAATAGTTGGATTTTCATGTTTTCTGAGACTCAAATCCAATACTTTAACACTTTTATCTCACTATAAAAACCTAGAACATTATCGATGCCAAAAACTCAGAAAGTAGTAAGAATGAGTATATAGACACTCTCAGGTTTGTAAAGGCTCTAGAAGATATGTAAGAGAGAAAAATACTAAGATTACTTTTTTTCCTTTGAAATATAAAATCCATTGATTTACCAGTCAGTTGGAAGATATATTCTAATTGCACTATTGCTTTACTTTGATCATCATGAATAAGCATTCAGGTTAGGAATTTTCAGTGACAGAAAGAACTATATTGCTCTATAGCCATAGATAAACTGATCCACAGGTTTCCATATAGAGAGGTTATTTAGAGTCAAAAGATGTGGACTTGAGTTCTAGTCCTGCCTTACTGCCACATAACTTTGCAGGTCATTTAACCTGTCCCAGCCTGCTACCTTATATCTGAAACTTAGACAAAAATATCTGCCTCCCAAGTGTATTATAAAGACCAAATGAGATGGTATATTTGAAAATACTTCATAAATTGTAAAATATTATACAAACAGATGTACCTTTAGACATAGTTTATATTCATGTTTTCCCTCATCTGAAGATCCACTCTGTTATACAGTGAGTGCGACACACAGGAATAACTTGATCTTCACGTCCTTTTAGGTCGGAATTGCTCATCTCTAAGAATAAACTTAGAGAAGGCAAGGCTTTTGAATAAGTAATTGTAAACCATGAGAAACTAGGTTAACATTGATTTTTTCATTTAACAAATATTTATTGATCAATATCCATGTTCCAGGCATTGTCCTTGTTCTGGGGATAGGATGTTGAACAATACATAATTCCTACCGTCAAATTGTTTACAGTCTAGTAAAATGTGCAGAAAAACAATAAGATTATTTAATAAGCACCATGATGGGTTAAGAACAGACTGCTGTGCAGTAAGCAAACAAGTAACTTGATTTTGTCAAATAACATGATACTCAATACCTCAAAGAATAAAATCATCAAAATAGTCACTATTAGGAAACCGAAATTTCAGACTTCATTGCACTTAATATTGTGTTTATTGTGAATAATATGGTGGTAGGGCAACAGTCATATAACCTATATGACTTTTAGTATTTGAGGCTTCTAAAATGTCTTAATTGGGCTCTGGTGTCATATTTTGGAAGGATCAGAGGAACTTCCCAGAGGAAGTGATGTGTAAATTGAGGTTGGAAGGATGAGAGGAACTAAAGTTGGAAGAATTGTACTGGGCAAAACAAATATGTGGAAAGGCTTTGGATATGGTTTGGACTTGTGTCCCCACCCAAAACTCATGTCAAATTGTGATCCCCAGTGTTGGAGGAGGTGCCTGGTGGGATGTGATTAAATCATGGAGGTGTGTTTCCCCCTTGCTGTTCTTGTGATAGTGAGTGAGTTCTCACGAGATCTGGTTGTTGAAAGGTATGTAGTACCTCCCCCTTGCTCTCTCTTTGTCCTTCTCTGGCCATGTAAGATGTGCCTGCTTCCCTTTCACCTTCTGCCATGATTGTGAGTTTCCTGAGGTCTCCCAGCCATGCTTCCTGTACAGCCTGCAGAACTTTGAGTCAATTAAACCTCTTTTCTTTATAAATTACCCAGACTCAGGTAGCTCTTTAAACCTATGCAAGAATGGACTAATACAGCTTTAGAGACTGAAAATTTTAAAAACTTAAAAGGTCCTATGGCTGAGGCATACAGAGCAACAAGGGCATGAGATATGAAAGAGAAATATGGAGAGATGAACTGAAGAGGGAAAACTTTGGAAATCTAATAATGTGTTGCCTTGAAAGTCTGTTAAATAATATGAGTTTTATCCTGAGGCTAATGAGCAAGCCATCAAGGAGTTTCAAGCAGGGTCTGATATGACTACTATATCAAACTTCTGAACCACTTTAATTATCCTATCATAATCCCACATCCTTCTGTTTAAACTCCATGATGTTTCATTGTTGACTAAAATTGAGAAGTAAAATATATTGTTTCTGCATATATGTATAGCAAAGTATATAAATATCAACCAAAAGGATACATGCCAATGCTCATGCATGCCTCTGAGGAAGGGGCCTGAGCAGAAATACAAACAACTTTATAAAAAAGTTCTGATGCAAATATGACCATATCTTAATATTTATCAATTTGAAGTGTTGGTCCATGTCTGCTTCTTACATTATTCTCCATTTCTTTCTGTCATTTAATTTTTTCCAAATTATAAAATAAAAGATGAAGATATTATTACTCATATTTTCCAGGATAGTATATAGAGATAACTCTGGAGGAGTGTGGCCTGAGAACCACTATGGGTAATTCAAAAAGGGCAAGAGAAACCATATATTGCACAAACTGACTTTGGTAACACTGGTTGTCTCCTGCTGACTAGTGGTTACACATCATTAATTAAAAATTAGGGAAATTATTATTATTATAGAAATGTAGTTCAAAAGCCTTAAATTTTTTTTAACACATGGGGTCTGCAAAATAAAATAAAATAAAATAAAATAAAATAAAATAAAATAAAATAAAATAAAATAAAATAAAATAAGTCATGCTTGTAAAATGGCTGAGAACTACTTTGTTCTTCTGTCAGTGAACACGGCCAATTCTTCCACATCTTGCATAATATTCCTCTACAAAATTCTATTCCAGTTCTCTCCCACAAGGTCATCTAAAGTTAGCTCCAACTACTCTAGTCTTTTACTTCACAATGAAAAACTAACGCCCCAATAATTGAATGAGTGTGTAAAATAATTTTTTAGCATATAGAGACGTGAGGGTACAGGCAAAAGAAAGGCTAATTGTTTTTTCAGCATTCATATGGGTCTTTAACAAACCAAAAAAATCAAAATTTCAAGACTGAAGTAAAAATGTCAAGGTTATCAACGATTAGAAAATTCATTTAGAGTGGGCCAGGCATGGTGGCTCATGCCTGTAATCCCACTACTTTGGGAGGCCTACGCAGGCAGATCATGAGGTCAGGAGTTCGAGACCAACCTGGTCAACATGGTGAAACTCCGTCTCTACTAAAAACACACAAAAAATTAGCCGAGCATGGTGGCGCACCCCTGTAATCCCAGCTACTTGGGAGGCTGAGGCAGGAGAATTGCTTGAACCTGGGAGGTGAAGGTTGCAGTGAGCCGAGATTGCGCCACTGCACTCCAGCCTGGGTGACAGAGTGAGACTCCATCTTGGGGAAAATAAATAAATTCATGCATTCATTCATTCATTCATTAGATTGAGACTGTAATCCCTGTAACTTTAATAGCTGTCTTGTAACTTTAATAGCTGTGTTTTGACAGCCTGAAGAGGCAGTGAGTTAATTCCCATTATGAACTAAGTTTGTTTATTTTGCATGTCATGAGACAAGGCCTAAATGGTTTTGAATGGTCTACCAGATAACTCTACTAGCTTTACATATTTTATGCTTTCTTTTTATTTTATTTTATTATTATTATACTTTAAGTTTTAGGGTACACGTGCACAATGTGCAGGTTAGTTACATACGTATACATGTGCCATGCTGATGTGCTGCACCCATTAACTCGTCATTTAGCATTAGGTATATCTCCTAATGCTATCCCTCCCCCCTCCCCCCACCCCACAACAGTCCCCAGAGTGTGATGTTCCCCTTCCTGTGTCCACGTGTTCTCACTGTTCAATTCCCACCTATGAGTGAGAACATGCGGTGTTTGGTTTTTTGTCCTTGCGATAGTTTACTGAGAATGATGATTTCCAATTTCATCCATGTCCCTACAAAGGACATGAACTCATCATTTTTTATGGCTGCATAGTGGTCCATGGTGTATATGTGCCACATTTTCTTAATCCAGTCTATCATTGTTAGGCATTTGGGTTGGCTCCAAGTCTTTGCTATTGTGAATAGTGCCGCAATAAACATAGGTGTGCATGTGTCTTTATAGCAGCATGATTTATAGTCCTTTGGATATATACCCAGTAATGGGATGGCTGGGTCAAATGGTATTTCTAGTTCTAGATATTTTATGTTTTCATCAGTTATTTATTTGCTAGTCTTAGTCTTTCCCATTAGATTGTTAATATTTTCAGAGAAGGAACCCCATATTCAACTTCAATGTCTCTTTACTTTCTCAAGGTTCTCTGTACACTCTATAATCTGAATTTATCTGTTATCAATATTTTATTGCACTGATTCTCTATTTTCACTTTCTGTAATAAATATTACACATTGATTTTACATATGAGTATAAAAATGCAACTCATAAAGCCATATTGTTGAAAATAAAATTTCTAATTGCAAAGCTAGTACAGTACACTTAGTTTCTTCACACTTCTATTTTATACAAAAATAGACTGAGTTTCACAGTTTTTAAAACATTTTGTATGTGAGTTTGGTTTTAAACTTCAATCTGCTTGATCTCAGAAGATATATTTAACAAAAATAGTTGAGCCTTTACTGCAAGATTTGTATTACAGAAAAGATAGCAAGAACTTTATAGTCATAGAATGAGGCTAACATTTCTTTGTAATAGAAAGTCTCTCTAGCTTCCAGATATTCAAGTTGCTTATGGTAATGACCATCTACTATATCCCAAGGAAAGGAAACTCTATAGGGTCTAAGCAATGGGAGGCATTTTTTCCCTTGTAATAAACTCAAATAAAGGGTGCAAAGCAAAACTAAAATCAAATACTATCATAAATAAAAATATAAATTCAACATTAATTCTTTAATTCAAGATTATTCACTTGGCTGTCATAAAATAGAGATGGTATGGTATATAATTTCTACTGTCAGTTTAAACAATTCCTCAGGCCCTATACGTTTGTCTCTTTTATCTATTTAGATTGCATTTTCTTGTAAAAAATGGAATCATTTCTTTTCAGTAATTGTGTGCAGTATTTGAAAAAGCGCCAGTTATGTCCGCGTATGCAAAAAATAGTTTTAGATCATTGATGATGACAAGATATAAAAATCCTAATAAATACTAAATTGTCCAAGTAATAGTACTATCTTAAATCTAGGCTTAATTTGGTACACCTTGAAAAGAGATATTCCATAGAATCCATATCTGTTTAAGTTTCCTAGTACTAACGCCGAGTACCAAGTGATTATTAACCAGAATTTTGTGCTTGGACAAAATCCAAAAGGTCATTTATTGTCCCCCACTGAAACCTACCAGTCATATTCCAGCAGATTACACTTAAAATACCGACTGATCCTCTTTCTCTCTGTGTCTCACACACACACACACACACAGTACAAACACACTTCAGTATTGAGGAGAGAGAGGTTACATTCAAATAAAAAATATTGTTGTCCTCAAAATTCTAGTATAATGTTATACTGGAATTCTTCATAGATTGATTGCTGTGGCAGACTGTATTATGATTTCCAAATATATACCTGCCATTTTTTAAAGGGAAAAGTAAACTTCCTTGAGCCATTGAAGTCAGTCATGGCTATATGACTTGTTTTGACCAGTGAATTGTGAGTAGATGTGTTAGGTCTCATTTTTATGCAGAAGCTTTAAGAGCCAATGCATGGTTCACCATGTTCTCTTTTTCCTCTGCCATGATGACCAGCAATTTTCTAGAAGAGACTACTCTATCAGCCTGGGCTTTGAAGTGAATAGGACATAGAGTAAAGCTATAGCAACCCAGGATGCACATGGAGCATGGGCATTTGATATGAGCATTATTAAAAGCCACTAATATTTTCAGGTTGTTTGTCACTGCAGCATAATCTAGTATACCTTGACTAATACAACTCTGCACCAATAGAAGGGAAACATAAGACAGATGTGCATATGAAGACCTAACCAATGCAGATTTTAATGCAATAACCATTTCGTTAATTTTCCAGGCTGTATCTCTTCATTTCATGGGTTATTAGTGTTTTTTTTTAGCGGTGCTATGTCAAGCCTCACATACTGTTACCCACAGTCAACCTAAGGTTACATTCTGCTACCTCCTTGCAAATCTAGTCTTTTCCAATCTGGCTTTTTTTTTTTTTTTTTTTGAGACGGAGTCTCACTCTGCTGCCCAGGCTGGAGTGCAGTGGTGTGATCTCGGCTCGCTGCAACCTCCGCCTCCTGGGTTCAAGTGATTCTCCTGCCTCAGTGTACTGAGTAGCTGAGATTACAGGCATGAACCACCATGCCTGGCTAATTTTTGTAATTTTAGTAGAGACAGGGTTTCACCATGTTGGCCAGGCTGATCTTGACTCCTGACCTCAGGTGATCTGCCCGCCCTGGCCTCCCAAAGTGCTGGGATTACAGGCATGAGCCAACGCGCCTGGCCCAATCTGGTTTTAACAGATAAATTTTGACTTATTTTATAAGTTTGATTTGTGCTCACTTGTCCTAATTACTTGATTCTGACCAGTTCTTCAACCTGCCGCTGTCATTTACAATTTCAATCCATTATTTTACTTGTGTTAGGGCCTAATTTTATTTGAATTACCTATCTGATGTTGGTGGTCATTCTGACCCAACCTAAGCAGACTGGGATGTTAAAAACTACTTCTTCAGCAGAAGCGAAATGCCTTAATAAATCAGTGCCTATAACTATTAGGTTGGTGCAAAAGTATTCGTGTTTTTTGCCATTAAAAGTAATATTAATATTATGACATATGACAAAAATGGTAATTCAGAGAGGAGGAAGATAATGAAAGTACAAGACATAATAAGCATTAAAAGTAATGGCAAAAACTATGATTACTTTTGCACCAACCTAATAGTAACTATAATTTATTTGGTTTGCTGCTTTCATCTTGTGTAGGTATGAAAATCTATGTCATGTAATTCATGTATGGTACAATATGATATAATAAATGCTTAAAACATTACTAATGATTATTATTGCTTCTTGTTTTACTAACCTTAGTGCCTTCCCCTGTCTACTACCACCACACCACTTTCTAGCATTGGTTCTCTCTTTCTTATTACAAGTGTGCAATAACCACTTTTTATTTAATAACTTATATTTGATGTTTCATAGAACACGCCTAATCCTTTTGGATATGTATTTACTACAGAGGGACTATAACCCACTAATAACTACAGTTATAAATTGAAAACTAACCAGACTCCTTTATAAATGTATAGGCTCTGGGCTGTTATCACCTATAAATAATTGAACCTCCTGATCCACACTTCTCAATCATTCAGCCTGTGGTAAAGTCTAAAGAATCTGCATTTTTAGTATGCCTCCTTAGATGAATCATGGTCCATGGAAACATGGTCCAGTGTTTCCTTTGGGAAACACTGTTCTTAATTACATGCATTTTTTCCCACCTCATATTTGTCTCCTTCTAAAGTATGAGTATAGCACAATTGCTATCAACTTTGGCTTCGTATTTGAATCACTTGAGGCATCACTTCTATAATACTGATGCCAAACCCCATCACAAAGAGTCTAATTTAATGGGTCCAGTATGGGGTTCAGGCATCAGTGCTTTGAAACAGCTCTTTACTTGATTCTAAACTCCTAAAGTTTCTAAATTTCTGTAATCATTTTTGGTGAACTTTTAAGGGAAAAATAATTACATCATTCTTTCAACAAACACTTATTTGCCAGGCACTGGAGACACAGAAGAGCATGGGGACTACTCCTGCTTCCAAGTCTGTCACAGCAAATCTTTTCTTAAATGAACTATTACTGTTGGCTTGGTTCTTTAAAAAGAATAGTCACAGTATATCACAAATGGTAGCATATCAGGGACTCTCCTCTGAAGTTTATTTTATCACTCATGAGGATCAAAAATAGCCTAACCCACCTTTCTACATCTGTATCCCTATATGTAGTATAGGAATAAAGGTAAAAGTTACCTCTTCTTAGGGTCTTTGTGAGAAAACTATAAAAGCCTCTTCAAAGGTGAACTGCATAATAGGACTCAAATACAGTAATTCAGATAGTAGAAAGATAATGAAAGTACAAGACATAATAAGCAATAAAATTTTGAGAACATGATATTCACAGCTGTAAAGATGAGCATATGCAAACTGTATAGCCTAGTAATTACACTCCTAGTAATTACACTTAAATGTAGGTATATACCCAAATGTCCATGATAAGAAGAATGGATAATCATATTGGGGTATGCACATAATGCACAGAATTCAATATTATATGCAGTGAAAATGAATGAACTACAGCTACAGAGGAAAACATGCATGAATTCAGAAATACATAAATTGAAAACAGTAAGAAACAGAGTGACAGCATTGTTACAAGCTCAAAGACAAGCATAATCAAATGATACATTTAGAGAAGTATCTGAAACTATTTTAAGAACAAATAAAATGATAAACACCTTGAGGAGGCAAGCTGATGAAATGGGAGAGGAGCTCAAAAGTAACTGAAACAATATTGGTAATGCTGTAGTTATTTAATTAGAGGGCAGATTCATGAGTATTTATTATTATTCTTCATAACATACATATATGCATTCTTTTGCATGTATGTACATTTCATAAATTTCAAAATGTAATACAGTGAAGAAAGAAGATGTCTGAGAAATAGGATCTACTATTTGCTATCTAAAAGGAATTGATGAGTTTAGTACACCCTCATCTATTCTCCTTCTGATATTATTGATGGTGATAATATCTTTAAAAGCGCTTTGGCAGGGCGACTCTGATAACATGCAATATAGTTTTGGTTTATAAAAGAATAAACCTATGAAAACAATCTATTTCAGCATCCATATTAATATGATACACAGTAAGTCTTTAAGTTTTTGCTCACAAGCCAGGCCAGTATCAGAAAGCTGCAGGAATAATAAGTTATTATGCCCCACTCTTCTAGAGTCCTTTGCTAAGTATTAGTATGCAATGATGTCATCACTCTTATCTCTTCATTCTGAGCCTTCAGAAATATGCAGCTGCCAAAAATTAGGTATTTAATATCATGAATGAGAATTTCTTGTATGTGTATTTATATCTATTTTGATAATATTCTCATACACACACCTTTGAGAAGATACAGGTGCACATATATAACATTCCTTCAGTTTTGAAAACAATATATTTTTAGTTTTTACATTTTTTTTCAGAAAAAAAGTATTCAAGTTATCTGGGTATTATTTCTGATAGTTTTATATCTAACTTCTGACTTACTATATTAGCATTATACGGAAAATTTGAAAAGATATTGCTTCTTTATAATTAAAGTAAAAGGCTGAAGAAAAATTAAAGGATAAAGTATAATTGAACTGAATTAAAAGTATTATTTGTTTAAACAGAAAGGAAATGAAAAAATACTGTTGGTATGAATGTAAATTTGTAGTGCCATTATGGAAAACAGAATGTATATTTCACAAAAATAGAACTATCATATGATCCAGCAATCCCACTACTAGGTATTTATCCAATGGAAAGGAAATCGGTATGTCCAAGAGATATCAGCATCTCTATGTTTACTACAGCACTATTCATAACAGCCAAGATAAGGAATCCACCTAAATGTTAATCAACAGATGAATAGATGAAGAAAACGTGGTATATGTACACAATGGAATACTATTCAGCCATAAAAAGAATTAAATCCTATAATTCACAGCAACATGGATGAGTCTAAAGGATATTATGTTAAGTGAAATAAGTCAAGCACAGAAAGATAAATATTACATGTTTTCACTCATATGCGAAAGCTAAAAAAATTGAGCTCATAGAAGTAGAGAGTAGATTGTGGTTATTAGAGGTTGGGAAGGGTAGGAGAGAGGAGGGGATAGGGAGAGATTAGTTAATAGATACAAAATTACAGCTAGACGGGAGGAAAAAATCCTAGTGTTCTATAGCACTGTAGAATGAATATAATTACCAATAATTTATTGCATATTTTCAAAAAGCTGGAAAAGAGGATTTTGAATGTTCCCACCCTAAAGAAGTGACAAATATTTGAGATGACGGATATGCTAACTACCCTGATTTGATCATTACAGACTGTATACATGTACTGAAATATGACTCTGTACTCCATAAATATATACAATTATGTGTCAACTAAAAATAAAAGAAAAAAGTGAAAAAACATTCACCTTTTATATTGCCTTAATTGAGTATGCTAATATAATCCATATTGTTTTAAAAATGCATATAAAGCTTGTCCTGTTTTTTGGTCTGAAATGTCCCAGTTTCAATCTCAAGAGCCCCAATATAATTTTCAGGTCACCCAGAATGTCTGATTCAGGAAGGTTTAAACACTAACTCTGAGTACATAGTAAAAGTAATATTTAAAGTTGTGTTTTAAATGTCTGTGAGACCATTCTGGACAGGCTTTTCATATGCTTTCAACACTTACCATATGAACGATAGAATACGTACCTTGCCTACTCCAGCATAATTTATATCCCCATTTTACATCTTTACGTGTATTTACTACTTGAACTTGAATATGTGAATAGAGATGATACATTCCTGGGTAATCAAAATTAATTTCTGTATTACATTTGAACATGAATGTTTCAACATATCTTGCAGAAAATGAAGCACAGTAATAAATTTGCATTAAAATCTAAAGAACATTCTGAATTATACTAAAATCCTTTTTTTTTTTTTTAAATCACATTTTAGAAATGAGATCTTTCTTCATTGCCACTCAATACCAAAAGTAAGCAGAGCATCACTCCTTGAAATTTTCTGTGGAGCGAGAAACTAGCTGAGTTTAGCATTTCCAAAGGCTCTTTTGCTACACAAAATAACTCGAGTGGCCATTTATTAAGCTCCCACTATATGCCAGATGGTGGGCTAAATCAGTTTCTAATCTTCACAACAGCCCAACAATAATCTAAAAAATGGTAGGGATCCACTTTTACAGAAAAAGAAAAATAATATCAGAGATATGAAGTAATTTGTCCAAGTTTATACTGTTTGTTGAAAAGCAAAGCCAGGATGATGAACTTGGATCTACTTCATGTCAGTGCCCACTACACTATTTTGCCATAAATTGTGAAAGTAAATGATATGAAATGTCAACTAAGAAGGTAAATGAAGTACTATTCATATACATGAATGTAATTAAGTAAAATATAATATCTATAATCAATAAATCTACAGGCTAAATTTCCTTGAATAAATCCTTAATGAAACTAAAAATTACTTCTGGGCTATTCATTTTAACAAAATTTTATAATCTTTCTAAACAGTATTTACAAATTTGTGCTCTAAGCAGTTAAAACACAAATCCCAATTCAATAAGTCCTAAAAACTCTTATCTTCTCAAGTATTTACCTTGAGCAATTAACAACTTAAGATAAAACAGATAAAATGGTTATATTACATTTGAGCAGGAATACATTTAAAAAGGGCTATATACTCAATATGCTCATTTATATCTTTATTTTAAGATGCAGATTTAGAGGATGTTTCATAAATTATTTACTTTTATTTTCTGTATTTAAAATAATATAAAGGTAACACAAGTGAATAGAAAGCACATAATTTAAAGGAGGCTGTCCATCAAAAATAAAAATTTTTAATACTGATGTTTAAAGAATATTTGTCCATTTACTTGAACAAAGGTTTAGAAAATAAAATACATCTGACAGGTAAATATGGAACAAAGTAAAACAAAAGAACTGTCAGAAAGCCAGAATAACAACTTAAGTAAAGACATTTATTACAGGAAAGACCAAAGCAACAGCACTAATTGTTTCTGCGTAATTAGGATTGGATTATTGTAAATATTCTTCCTTACAGTTTTCTGTAAAATGTTTTTAACACTATTCAGACAACCAGCGATAACCAAGAACATGTAAAATGGATCTAAGAAGGTTAGAAATGAACAGACCCATAAGCAAGCAGAGATTTTTAATAAATACAGTTTAGAGAGGACCAGTTCAGGTAAAAAGCATATCATCAAAACTTGAGTTTTAAGAGGAATTTTTCACTCTGTATTTAACACTTCAAAATCTGATTTAAAATGTTCTTTAACATGTTTGAATTTTTCCCTCAGCACCTAATTCAGATTTCACTGTAAATGCAGCTCATGAAAACTAACACCAAATGGAGAAAAAAATCTCTGACATTTATTTTTCAAAACAAAGTTCCTATTTTACTTCCTTTTATCAAGTCTCTTTATTCCTTACCCATTTTTGTAAATAATATTATTTTCATCTTTGTTTTTCACTTTACACTCATCAGCTATTTTATTTTATTTTACTTTTTTTAACTTTTATTTTAGGTTCAGGGGTACATGTGCAGGTTTGTTATATAAGTAAATTGGGTATCATGGGGTTTGCTGTACAGATTTTATCACATACGTAATGAGCATAGTACCCGAAAGGTAGTTTTTCGATCCTCACCCTCCTCCCACCCTTCACCCTCGAGTAGGCCCCAGTACCTGTTGTTCCCTTGTGTCCACGTGTACTCAATGTTTAGCTCCCACTTATAAGTGAGAAGATATGGTATTTGGTTTTCTGTTCCTGTGTTAAGTTTGCTTAAGATAATGACCTCCAAGCTCCATCTGTGTTGCTGCAAAGGACATGATCTCATTCTTTTTTATAGCTGCACAGTATTCCATGGTGTATATATACATTTTCTTAATCTAGTCTACTACTGATGGGCATTTAGGTTGATTCTAAGTCTTCACTATTTTTAAATAAATCTCATTTGGTTCTCAGAAAAACTTTGAGGTAGAGGTGATTATTTCTGTTTACAGATGGCGAAAACAATGACATCGTTTGTCCAATGTGGAATCATCATGAAAAACAGGGCTGAGTCTCAAATCTTCCAAGATTACAACCTTGCCCCATGTATTTTAAGCTTCACCAAAGTTTCATCTTGCAAACCAACACTTTTGTGCTTATTTCTTAACTAGTGGCAATCTAATTCATCATTTTTGTGTTTGAAGTGGAGAACATAAAAATGGTACAGTAGAATAATTTTAGGTTAAGCTGATATCCATTAAGGAAGGCATCATGGCAATTATTTAAAGGCTGACAAGTAGTGTGTGGGTACCTGTCTCATTGTTCTGATTCAGTTGCTGTCAGTGTTCTAAATGAAGCTTCAGTTCTTTGTGAGAATTCTATTTAAGATTTTAAAACCAGTTTCTCTTTTTTTTTTTCAAAAGTGTCATTATAACCAATCTTATGTGATGAGGAAAGTGTTGGGGAGGGGGGCGGAAATCTCTTTAAAAGGCTTCAAATACAATGATCCAAACCCATCACAACTGGGAATAAGTAAAATAAATATAGCAGATTAAACAAATTCCTGCAAATGGAGGTTTTCAAAAGAAACTGACATTAACTTTCTCCTCTAATTTTAGTATTATTTTAAATGTAAGTGGCCAATATCAAGAAGCACTTTCCTTTTACTTCATAGTAGCACCACTTTGTTTTAGGAAGGGGAAAAAAGCCATTTGTGACAGTTTATTTTTAGATATTGATTATCTCATCTTGCTGCAAAGGGAATAAAAATAATTAAAGCTGAATGAAAAATAATTTGAAGCACAGCATATTTCAAAGCATAATCATCATCATAACTGTTCAGAAGAGATTTCTTGAAAGCCTGGTAATAAATGCATGTCCTAGATTTTTTTAAAAGTCTACACCTTGCTTATTCAAATTGGCCTCTTTTACTGGCAGCTTAAGTTTAATTCCTGTCTTCAGATACTTCATACAATTCCAATCAAATGCAGTGATTAGTATGTATATAATGGCTGAATTAGATGATTAGATGAACATTAACTGTTCGTAAGCTATGTAATTTATTTTAAAGTATAATTTCAGTATTTGTCTAAGCTGTGTTCCTTTGGCAAACTTAAAGAGGTATTTCTTCAATGTACTTAACATTCTTTTTTGTTTTTTGATAACTCAAATTCATTTTAGAAAATAAAAATTCATTTGGAAAATAGAGAAAAGTCGAGTCTAAATAAAATCACCCATAGTTTCACCATAAAGAAATAAACACTTAACTATTTTATTTCATTATTTTACCTATTAATCCTTATTCTTCTTGCTACTACTGGTAGCAAGAGACCACAGAGCCCAGAAAAACTTGGTACTGAAAAGAGATATCATCACATAACAGTAGAAAAAGAACAGATTATTTAAGAGATAATTTACAAGCACTAATATATCATGCCTATAATTACATTTCCTCTAAAAGATATGTTTGGATATGGGATATGTTCCAGTCAATTCACCCAAGTCTCTTCCATTTCTCCTTGCCTTATACCGGACTTAATTTAAACATTTATATTAGCTGCTGGACCCTGAAGGCATCTGGTTTGGGGATCCCTGGCTTAGATAATATTTGAAGTGGAAAATCAGTTCAGGTAATTAGATCACTGTTAAAAGCTATTAGGCACATTTGTTTGTGTGTGTACAGGTCAGGTTCCTTTTATATCTTCTGGTAAGCTAACTGAGCTAAATGCACAGTCTCCCAATAAATAACTACACATTTCATTTCTTTAGAATGGTTTGTCTTTGAGAAACTTCTAAACCAGTATCTTAAAAACTCTTGGTACATAGGATACTTCCCATTGTTGGAATATGAAGTTGCTAATAAATTAACAGAAGGAAAGTTTGTCAGCTAATACCTGTTGCACAATTGTTGTTAACTCCAGGCAGAGTTGTATGACATTATTTCTTGTAACTGAATAGTCTGTCACAGCAGCAAATGGTGACCTATAAAGGGAAAAGGAAAATTGTGATTACTAGTAACAGCTTTTGAAAAGTCCCAAAATATAGTAGCCTAAAATGAGTTTATCAATAATATGAAATAAATTGTTCTGAAATTTCCATACTGATAAAAATATTCAGGACTTATTTTAAGGAAAGATTTGAAAGAAATGATTGGAAGAAAATTAAATTCAGGAAATATAATGTTTGCTTTCTACCAAATTTCTCTCTTTTTAAAGTTCTTAATTATTTAAGTTCTTTGGTTCTTACAAGGTATCTTCACTACATCTAAAACAAAAAAGGAATACTTTAGGCAAAGATAACATGTCAGTTTATTTTCAAAAGAATCTAAGATTCTGAGTACAGTATCTACTTAGAATATTCACAATCAAGAGCTAGTAATAACAACTGCTAAGGTTTACTGAGGGCTCACTATGTGCCAGTTACTATTCTAAATGCTTTACCTGTATCAGGTAATTTAATCTTCACAACTATTATGAGATAGGCACTATTATTATTCTCATTTTACAGAGGAGAAGCATAAGGTAGAGAAAGATTAAGTGACTTATCTAAGGTCACACAACTAGTAAATGGTGGACCTGTATACTGATGTATCTTCAAGTGTTTGAAGCAACTCATTTAGTCATGTGTCTAATTCTTTTTACACGTTTAGATTTAGTTTGGTAATATTTTGTTGAAGGTTTTAACATCTAAGTTCCTGAGAAATATTGGTCTGTAGTTTTTTTTTGGGGGGGAGGGGTATATCAGGATAATGATTGCCTCAAAAAATGATATAGGAAAAGTTCCTGCCTTTATTTTCCGGAAGAGATGGTATAGAAATGGTGTTTCTTCTTCAAATATATAAAATTCAACAATGAAATCATTTGAGCCTGCAGATTTTTTCCACACCCTGAGGCGTTTCTAGGTAATATTCACTTTCTTCAATAGTTATGGGATTATTCAGAGTATCTATTTCATTTTGGGTTGTTTTAGTACCGTTTCTCAAGGAATTGGACCATTTCATCTGAGCTGCCAAATTTATATGTGAAGTTATCTGTAATATTTGTTCATTAACCTTTACATTTTGATTGACTTCTCTATTGTTTTCAATTTTGCTAATTTCTGCTCTTATCATTAAGAGGATCTTATTGCTCCGTACTTATTTTGTTCTTATTTTTCTATTTTCTTGAGATGGGAACTTAAATGATTGATTTGAGATCTTTTCTGATATAAAGCATTCAGTGCTTCTGATATATTTACTATATATATTTCTGATATATTTTGAATATATATATTTCTGATATATATAAGCATTCAGTGCTATACACTTCCTTTTCAGCACTGCTTTAGCTGTGTGCCACAAATTATGATTTGGTCTTTTTTCATTCTGTTCAATGTATTACTTTTTATTTTCCATGAGACTTGACCGTTGGATTACTTATAAGTGTGCTGTATGAGTTACCAGTTTCATTTTATTATCTGATTTCAATTCTTTTAAACTTGTTGAATTTTGTTTTATGATACAGATATGGTCTATCTTGGTGAATGTTCAATGGGTACTTGAAAAGAATTTTTATTCTCCTGTTGTTGGATGAAGTGCTCTAAAAATGTCAAAACATCCTGTTCTTAGGTGGTGGTGCTCAGCTCTTCTAATCTTACTTTCTGTTTAATTTTATCTATTCTTGAGAAAGAGGAAATGAAGTCTACAACTGTGGATTTGTCTACTTCCTCTTTCATTCTGTCAGTTTTTGCTCATGCACTTTAAAGCTCTGTTGTTTGATATACACATTTTACCAGTGATTTCTGTTTCTTCTTTTTTGATTTACCTACTTATATACTCATCTGTTACGTTTTGGTGGGCTTTGTTTTTTATCAATATGAATATTCACATATGTTAATATATGAATATTACACATTACACATTAACCCTCTGCTTTTCATATCTGTTTGTTGCAAATATTTTTCCCAGCTTGTCTTCTGTCTTATACTTTATTACGTTTTTCTTTTTTATGTAGTCAACAGTACATTCCTTTGTATTTTATTCCATTTTAAAAATACTTAGAAAGTCTTTCCACATCTAGAAATCATTTTTGCCTATATTTTTTCTAGTTTTCTTGTAAATTTATATTTTCTTCTTAGATATCTGATATATCTAAAATTTATTTTAGTGAAGAAAAATAGATAGTGCTCTATCATTATTTATTTTCCAAAGGCTTAACCAAGCGCCCCACTACAATTTATTAAATGGCCCTTTCTTTTTCTAGTGGTTTTAACATATTGTTTTCTAAATGATTCTATATACGGTCATGTGCTGCATAAAATGACGTTTTGGTCAACAACAGACCGCATATACCACAATGGTCCCATAAGATTATAATACTGTATTCTTACTGTACCTTTTCTGGGTTTAGATATGGAACAAATACTTACCATTCTGTTACAATTGCCTATAGTATTCAGTACAGTCACATGCTGTACAGGTTTCTAGCCTAGGAGCAACAGGCTATACCATATAGTTTAGGTGTGTAGTAGGCTGTATCATCTAGGTTATGTAAGCACACTCTATGATGTTTGCACAACAACAAAATTGCCAATCCTTATCATTAGCAATGCATGACTACACCACAGTGTATTATAGGCTCTCTTTCATGAACTTATCTATTCCTACTCCTAAACCCAGTATATTTTTTCAAGATAATTTACTTAAATAAAAGGAGACATAAGAATTTAAAAAACTGAATTAGAAAAAAATGTGATTAATCAAAATTGTCAGTTAAAAAAAATTAACCTCTTTAGTTGTAAGCAGAAACCAACTGTTAAAAATCCATCCTGATGGAAGTTTTCTAACACTGGATTGTAAAGGTGGTTGTATTAGGTGTTATCAAAATTTACTAAAACCCATCAAACTGTATACTTAAAATAGGTTAATTTATAGAATATAAATTAGGCCTCAATAAAAATATTTTTAATGAAAAATATAAGCACTTCTAGGAGAATATCATTAATTTAAAAAAATTACTTTGGGAGGCCGAGGCAGGTGGATCACGAGGTCAGGAGTTCAAGACCAGCCTGGCCAAGATGGTGAAACCCCGTCTCTTCTAAAAATACAAAAATTAGCTAGGCATGGTGACGGGTGCCTGTAATCCCAGCTACTCAGGAGACTGAGGCAGGAGAATCGCTTGAACCTGGGCAGCAGAGGTTGCAGTGAGCCGAGATCACGCCACTGCACTCTAGGCTGGGCGACAGAGTGAGACTGTCTCAAAAAAAAAAAAAAAAAAAACTACATAGAGACCATTTTTGCTGCATTGAAGCATAAAAACTGGCATTTTAAACTAAGAATTCAAAAGTGCTTCTGGCATGATTAGAAAAGAGTTTCGATTCCTAGGTTTGAAAAGGTCAGAGTCTGTTTATAAAATCTTAAAATTTCATTAAGAAGTGATGAGGTGATGCACAGCATGTTTGTTTTGTTTTGTTTTGTTTTACCATAACTACTTAAAAGAATCTCACTTGATGTTCAAATATAGAAAAGAAAAAATCTATTTGATCACTAAATGCCTATAGCAAACTGAATTCCAAGGCATGTCTTCCACTTTCCTGACCATTCATATTTTAAGTAGGACAAGCTTTTCACTCAAGATTAAATTTCAAGAAAAAATGAAAAGAAAAATCTAAACACATACCAAGGAAAACAGATTTTATTTTGTAGTGATTTAGAATTACCCTAAAGTTTTTATCTTAGAGGCAAATCATATACAACTGTACTAACAGCCATTCTTAGCCAGCAGATTTTAAGGTTTGGTATGATGATTTGGGCTGTATCTACATATAAATAAGGGTAAAAGGTCAGGTGGGGCTCCAATCTTTGTGGGTTACCAAAGATTATCACTCAGTCATGACTTAATGATCATCTATGAGAGTAAAAACGATAGATCTCTGTAGAATAACTGAACATGATCAGCATGCATGCACATACACACACACACAAAAACAAAAACAAAAATAAAGAAACTGTTCTTAAGTCTGAAGAAATCCTCAAGTAGAGTTCAGGGTACTTACAAGAAGAACACAATAACTCTAATTAAAGGAAATTAAATTCATAGCAAGAAAGCTTTTTGATGCCAGAAAGAGAAAAAAAGATAAAATCCTTGGATCATCGATAAGTGGCTGTTACAGGAATTATCCTATTTAAATCTTAAAAATTAAGCGACTGTACTCCTTAAATCATCATATAGATAATACGATGCTTATATTTCTCTCTGGTGCAAAAGTTTAAGACCCTATAAGAAATTATTCTTTGTACATTATATCTAAACAAAAGTATTACATTTATAAAAAGGTTATTAACGATTCAGAAATCCTAAACAAATTAGAAACTAATAAGGAAAGCTAAGAGGTTAATAAGGAAAATCTGGAATGCCTTACTATTTCTCAGGTTGGCACTGCTGAAACCTTAGGGTAGTCTGTGAATAATGGTAGTGCTAATGTCACTGCTCTTCCCTTGAATAATTAGTGCTAAGTGAGAAACAATGAGCACATGAGAGAAAATAAGACCAAACAATGGATCACATTATCTGGTAGCGTTTGATGTGGTTTTCTTGGTCTCTGTAATATTTTTCCTGGTATAAAATTAATTTGTCCTTTAGTTTCTTATCATGGAAGAAGAAATTAGTTTAACAATTTTCTTACATAAGACAAAAAATTTCAGAGAAATCTTAACAAAAATTCCCTAGTACCTTAAACTCTTATGCCTTAAATATGTAAAAGGTTTTCAATGATATCAAGAGATCTCACTGATCCCATCAAAACAGGATGACCTTAAAAAGGTATTTTATAAACTCTCAGAATTGGGTATTACTGGTAAAAATGAAGGAAAAAAACTTTTACTATGAAAGGCAAAATAAACTTTGTTTAATAATAATTTTGAACATTTTTACTAATGTTACTGTACAACGTAACACTTGTAGTGATCTGTAAACTTCTGAGTATAGATCGATTTGGCAAAGCCACAGAAAACTGCAAGAAATATGAGGTGTCAAAAACAGTAGGATGTAGGTTAAAAACAGACAAGTAAACCATGCATTGAAAATAAACAGTAAAGCTACCAACTGTGATTCACCTCTGAGACTATTCCTCTGGGAAAGTCTGGTGTTTCACTGAAATCAATATTTTAAATAGGAGAAAAAATGGAATTGTGTTAACCTTAGATTTTATCTTATTTAGGAAATGTAAGGAGCTGGTCTTTGAACGTGTATCTCATTTAAATGGAAGCTCCATTGAAACTGGAGTTTTTGTGAGTCATAAATATTATTTTCCTAGCACACTATTACGCCCTAAACATTTAAAGGTTTTGCAATGTTATCAAAAATATTTCAATGATCCCTTTAAAATAGAATAATCTTGAAAGGTATTTTAGAAACAATTAGAATTAAATATTAATGTTAAAAATGAGAGAAAATAGTAAACTTTTACCATAAACAGTGAAATAAACATTTTCTATAAATGAAGTTCTATGTAGCAATTTCAGATACTGAGGCCCAAAACAGAAAAGTGGTAGTCTTATTTAGCTTTTGAAGAGAAATAGCAAAATGTAAATAAAGGTTTATATGCCATATCCCTTCCTCAAAATCCTCAAGAATTAGTCAGCATTCAAAACGAGGTGTAGCATGATAAAGGAACATGAAGGAAAAAATAACAGGACTTCAATGTCAGACAAAAATAAATTCAAAGTATAACTTTCATACTAGATGAATGACTTTAGGCAAGTTATTTCACATTTCATATGTAAAATGGAGATAACAATATCTGCTCTGTGAGAATTCAATGAGCTGAGAGTATATATACTTATGTATAAAGCATCTAGTTCAGCATCTAGAATAAAATTAAAGATTTTTTTTAACCTATTCTTTCTTTTTCTTTCTCCTCTTTCAAGTGACATAAAATAAAAACTGTAATAAACCCAAAACATATTGCTGTGGATACACGTTTTCTCCAAAATGTAATAAAAATTTTGTAATGCCATAAAACTTATAGCTGTTTAAAAATGAAAACAGGTGCTTATAACATCAAATTAATCCTATTTAACTGACAAAATTTTTATTCTTCATCTAAAGTATTGTATATTGAAGGAATAAACTAAAGTTAAAGATCAAATGCTTGGCAGTATTCATTTGCAGGGTTCATTTTAAATCCCTCAAATTAAAGCAAATCTGCACTGACACACTGGGTGTGTTTTTATGTGCTTTTGTAGGTGTGCATGCACATATGTGTTTTGTAGGTGATTTGGCACTTACCAAAAGCATTTTATTACATAATGAAAGTAATACCACCATAAAAAATTGATACGATAAAATCTCAAGGACTACTATAGTGTGGGAAATGTGCGATTTTATAAATAGCCATATCTGTCATCAAGAAGTAAAAACATTTTCTATTCACTCTAACAGTTTATCTATCCATCTAACAAATACTAGGGTAAAAAATATATAAATGAATTTACTAAATGCAGATATCAAGGCTGAGCAAATTTATAATTATAGGGAAAATGAGAGTAAAAGAAGATACAATTATAATCAAGGATGTGTTCTTTAAGCCTTCTGATTACTGTAAAGCCTACCAAAACAAATGTATTATATTAATAGTACTTAAGGACTAAGCCATATTTTACTTACTGACCATTCATAACTTTTGGAATGTATATATTTAAAATTCAATTAATTTAAACACTTGATAATGTGGCTTAGACAATTATGAAAATTAAATTTTAATAATGTTATAATGCAAAATAAACATGTAGTCCATTAATTAATTATCAAAAAGCTAGTAATATATAGTTTAGTGTTTCATATTTGGATTTAGTATCATCACTTTATATTATGTATAAGTATATATAAAATTAGACAATATAAAATTAAGGAAAATTATCTCAATTTTCACCTTAAAAATACAAAAGCTTTACTTTTAATATAAGGCCTCATGTTTTTAAAATGCCAAAATGTAATACTGGCGTGTGTGTGTGTGTGTGTGTGTGTGTGTGTGTGTGTGTGTGTAGGAACACATATGAATATCCTACTGACAATTATTCAAGAAAGAATTCTGGTAATGTATATTATCAGAGTTTCTTATGAAAGACAAAGAGCATTTTTAAAATTTGATTATTAAGCCATTAAACATAGTACATACCCCTTACCAAAAATTCCAAAACTGAAAGTAGAGAATTTGTTTAGTTTTTTAATAAACAGTTGTAATGTGTTTTATCATGATAATGTTTAACCACATACAGTATATAATTTAAATCTAACATTTTCATTTCATATTACAAGACTTTTATACTATTTTATGTGTTCCAAAACAAATGAAAGTCAACTAAACTTAAAAAAGTCTAAAAGTGTGTTTATGATATCCAAAATAGTACAATGTAATTAATAACAGAGAATGAATGAAGCGAGGCCAAGGAGACATACAAGGCATGCTATGAAGGTGTCAGTGTCTAATTACCTATTTAAAACAGTTTATAGAATCCCAATGGTCATTTCCTTAAGTACAACCAATTAATATGAATAAAGAACATCAGGACACAAAGCAGTATTATAATAAACAAAAATTTATAAATTTTATTATGACAGCCAAATAATGATTTTGCTTATAAAGCAGCAAGGTATTTTACAGTTGTCAGACTAATTATTGATTGGCTACTTAGTTGGACATCAAATTTTATAAAAGACTAATATCTATTTAATACCCCTATATTGTGGTAAATCATCATTAGACATTTATTACTTGGTACTCCTCTGCCTGTCCAATCCTTTCACAACAAAATGCAAAATAATGTTATATTCAAACTGGTGTCTGAGGAGAGGATACTTATGAAACATGCGGAAGACTTTACCTGTCCAACCAGGCAAGCAGACTCTTGGCTGCTCCAATCAGATCCACAACTGAGGTCAGAAAGTCGTTTGGCAATTTTCGGCTGGTCCTCCCATCATAATGGCCACTCCTTCTCCTTCCTGTTATAAAATTCTGCAGATTTTTGGCAGATGCATTCAACTTGTGAGAAAGGGTTTTTAGATTTTCTGTTTCCAAGCCATAATTCTGAATTATAAAAAAGAGAGAGAATATATTTAAAGTCAGTTTTATTCATTCATGAAAATATTTACTGAATACTTTATTATGCACAGGCAATGGGGTAGCATTCGAGTTACAAATGAATAAGATAGGATTCCTGACCTAGCGGAGCCCACAGTTAAGTGACTATTTGGGAAGATGTCATATAAAGAAATTATAATAAAATGTGTTAAGTACTAATATGAACATGGAAAGATAAGGGCATTGTATCTTAGAACTATGCTACCCAAGAAAGCAAGATTGTAAGAAATAATAAATTTGTTTTTTAAAACCAAAACCTAAGTTTATTTACTTGTGAAATTAATTATTATCAACAATTATTTTTGAGTAGATATTCTATTAACAATACACATGGTCAGGAATGTAGGTACTAGGGATAATTCTGCTTCCCCAAAGTTAGGAAAATAAACACAACCAACAATAATAAAATGAAAAAGCAAGAAATAAATCAGGTAAATAAATCAGATAAAAAAATACGTACTCTACATAATGATGTATAAGAAGTTTCTTTTATAATATGGTATCAGGAAAAACTCTGCTTCCTCAGGGGAACTAATATACTTTCTCCTTTTTGTAATACAAATTATGAAACTAAAATTATTTTTGTTTTTGTCCTGGCTGTATTAGCTCACAACTAAATATGAAGCACACCAAAAGCAATCACAGTGACTTTTTGGTAAGTGTATTTGTTTTCTTCTTTTCTTTGTTCTCACATTTCAACTAATATTTGTTAATTCATCCTAAATATCTTATCTATTATACTTTATAGCAGAAACGGGTTATATGAATAAGTGTAATAAGCCTTTTTACTATCTTCAAATAGAAAAAGATTGTAGGATCCCTTCAAACTTTGGGGAAAGTTTTCAAAAGTTACAATTAAAATGTAAAGCAGCTAATTGTGTGTTGTAAAACACCCCTTAAAAAGGCTGGTTAATATTATCCAAGGATAACCTTGATTAAAACACTTAGCAGCATGCACATTACTGTTGTGTGTAAAGTTAAAGTTATTACCACCTTACTTAAAATGGCAAAACCCAAAGAATGTAAGAATTTGCTTGGGCCTGGGAGGCTAAGTTTGACTTACCTTTTCACAGTTGGGGAAACTGAGGTATGGGAAGATTTCTTTTTTAACAGTTTGCTTAAAAAACTCTGTACTTGGACTAGACAGAGTTCAGAATGGAACTACAAGTCACCAGGCCATCTGTGAGCGGATATGTCTACCACATTCCTTAGCACCAATATTCTACTCCTATTCTCAGAAACATGGTAACAATAATTAAGTCAAAGTGGAAGATGAAGGGTGAAAAAGGAAAGTAAGCCATACAATGAATTAAGCTATGTTATTAAGTCAACAATCACTGGGTACCTACTTTGTATATAACATTTAGGTGTCTTTTTTTCCTATGACAATTTAAGACAAGAGAAAACTTAGTGGAGACAAAATGAGGGGAGAGGAAGGTTTTGATGCCTAAACATTAAATACCAAGTTATGTATGTTACCACTACAGATTTAATCGTGATAAAAGTCTGCTTGTCTTTTGCTGGGAATTTACATATTTATTAAAAGAACACTTTCTTCTAAAGTTATAAATTTGTTTTCTAAAATAACATAGTATTAATATGTTAAATATTCACTGCTTAATTTGAACTGTAATATTCTTCTCTCATGTTAAAAGATTTGCTTGGGCAAATAAAACAACATTCTATTCAAATTCTATTGCATTTAAGAATGGATTATTTGTGAAATGTGGGAGAGTTTGTCCAGCCGGTCACTACAGTATGAAAGAAATCCTCTTATGTTTATAAAAGATGCTCTCTAATGACTAGATAAGAACAATTTATAACTATACAAACTAACTGTAAATGATATTTCTTCTGTAAATGTAATTGTAAATGAAAATACTGAAAAGCAAAGTATTTTCAGAAGTTTTCCCTGTGTTAAAGCATTTTTCTAAAGTAAAAAATGATTGTATTTTTCATTTTTGTGTATAAATGAGTTTAATAAGAAAACATTTGTTTGCCAACAAATTATAGTAATCTCTTAGAGAAGTTCAAATTATAACAATTTATTAGCGAGAAACCTACTCAACTTGGTAACTGATATTTCACTCTGTAGCTATTAGCCTCCATAAAAGATTATTTTAAATTGTTTATCTCTATATAACACTAGCATCTCAAATGATTTATTAGGAAAGGTAAAATAATATTAATCTTCTTATAAGTAAAAATCCAAAGGCAAAGTAAAAATATTCCAGAGTCTTCAAAATTTAAGAAACTAAAATTATTATTTTTCATATGACTCAAGAATTAGGGAATATAATAATCATCCGGACAAAACCTGGAAGGATACTCTCAGAGGTTCTAACTTGGAAACCTCCTAAAAATATATTACGCAGAATAGAGGTGAAAAATGTAGAGGACAGAGAAATGCAGAGGAAAAAAGAATCTTTAAAAGATATGTAGCAGAGGATGGGGAAGGAAATTGTTAAAACTTGCTCTAGTTAATGAACATAACTACACTGATAATCTAAAAACATGTTTTAAAAATTTAGAAGAGTATAATAGGTAAGAAGCTCATCTGTATGTAACCAGATTTATGTGCTACTATTTTAACAAAAGAGATTAATTGATCTCTCAAGTTAACTTTTTAATTTTTAAAATTTATTTTATTTTATTTTTTTGATACAGGGTCTCGTTCTGTCACCCAGGATGGAGTGCAGTGGCATTATCACAGCTCACTGCAGCCTGGACTTCCTGGGTTCAAGCGATCCTTCCACCTCAGCCTTCTAAGTACCTGGTACTACAGGTGTATGCCAGCACACCTGGCTAATTTTTAAATTTTTTGTAGAGATGTGGTCTTGCTACATTGCCCAGGCTGGTCTTGAACTCCTAGGCTCAAGTGATCTGCCCTCCTCAGGCTCCCAAAGTGCTGGAATTACAGGCATGCCACCATGCCCAGCCTCAGGTTAATTTTTATAATTACAATTCTCAATTACTACCAATACAGATACCTTCTGGCTATTTCTTTCATGTAAGTGGATGGTTTGTTGTGACATGGTAAGTCACCAGTAAATCACACACCCTTACCTACCATTTAAAGAACTGACAAGTATATCAAGCACCTTTTGTGTTAGGCCAGGGGTACGGAGGGCACTGCCTCAACTTTTTAAAAATGCAGGTTTATTCACCACAGATTTGCTTTTTATTGGATATGCATAGCAAAACTTGGTATTACTATTAGTATAAAAAGGACTACCTCAAGAAAACAAAAACTTATACATGAAATGTACTTAGCTGCTGTGTTTGTCATATATGTTACTTATTTGTTCATATACTTGGCCATTACCATGTGCCAGAACCAGTAATGACTTAGAACTGATTCAACACAGCCATTTAAGTCTTAATGAATTTATGCTAAGTTCATATCAGCCTTCTCTTTCAATCATATGCATGCAAAAGCATTTGAAAGAAATAAAGAAATGTATTTAACATTTTAGAAAAATAAGGTCAGCTATATCCTCACTAGTGGCAAATTTTCACTAACCACTTAACTAGAAATACTTAATATTGGCAACAACAGATTTTACAATGTCAATGCCATTTTATTCAGAGTTCTTAATTTGAATGCATCGTGTAGCACCTTTTTAGCTTTATAATACATTGCTTTATAAATATGAGTGAGTCCTAAAAGGCTTGCTTTAATGAATTTTTTTGGAAAATAAATTATTTTAAGATGAATGAACCAAGCAATTATGTTGCAAAGAAACAAATCCCAGCAATTGCAAACATCAAATCTTTCATGCAAAATGCCTGAAATTATAAGTACATGAAAAATGAAATGAAAACTGTTCTTATCCTGTCATAAATGATTTATTTACAGTTCCTAATAAAAAGTGTATTGTCAGAACACAAATTAAGGACCATACGTTAAGCTATATATATATTTTTATTTACATTTTTACTCTTTCAGTTAATATCTTTGCTCTCTATTAAAGCATACTAAATTATAGCTTAATAGCTTGAAATATTATTACACCTCCAAATCATGAACAGCTTACTTCTTTCTAGAATAACATGATGCAAACAATATATCTGATGCTTAATAAATATATGTTGCATGAATAAACAAGTGACTAAATAAACCTTTGATTCTCATCAGCTGCCATAAACATTTATTCACATAAGGAATAACTTCAAGACAAGGTAGACGAAAATATAGTATAGCTTAAAGAAACAAAAGGAATCTGCTAATTTTTCTATGTCTTCCTTTATATGAGGAACAGAAACTTCAAAGTCAAAGGCTATGCAGGTAAGAGAAAAATTATGCTTCTCTGAAGAAAGACAGAGAGTTTAATTCAGTAAGATAACATTAATTTAGCATCTTTTATGAGCTAAGCACTGGGCAGAAAGCTGAATAAAAAATATGAACTAAACAAAGATGTCTTCCTTTGAGGAGCCCAACATGAATTAAAGGATAAAAGAACCTAAGCAAAGAATTGTAATACAAGGTGTTAAGTTCCCTTTTTTCCCATCACTTCCCATTCTGCACAAGCTAAATGAAAATTCTCAATTTTCTCTGAATATTCCATATTCTTTCACAATTCTGTCTTTACACATGATATTTCTTCTGCCTAGATAACTTTTCTCCAACTTTTTGTCTGGCAAACATCTCATCATCCTGCAAGACCAAATGCATATCTTACCTACACTTCCTGAATCCCTCAGAAGTGTTCATTTCCTTCTACACTCCCCTGGAATTTTCTTTAAATCTATGTTGTCTTCTGATGGCTATTGTCTTTCTTAATGGACTGTATATGTTTCAGGAGTACAGACTGTCTTTTTCATCTTTGCATTCCCCGTGATAGCACTGTTTGAGCATGAATATGTAATTGTTGAAAAAGAAATGAATACAGTAGACATAAGGAAAATGTAGAAAGGCCAGTAAAGATCAGAGAGACAAGACTTAGCAGGGTAAACGGAAATTCAAAGAGTAGTTGGGGATAGAGGGGAAGGAGGTAAAGATATAGTCCCAATAGCACAACTTCCTGGACTAGTCAACTCAGCTTGTTGATAAGGAATCTCACCTCCTGATTTCATAATGGTATGTAGAAGAAAATTAGAATTCACTACCCAGAAATTTGCTTTATATTCCCCAGAAAGCATCTGTTGCATAAACTGAAATACATCTGTACTTCTGACTTGTTGATGTATATCCACTACATTAGGAAGGGGTAAGAAGGAAGTTTAACATTTGACCTCTTTGGGGACTGCGACTAAGGAATTGCTGAATAAACAGAAAAAAAAATGGTGTTTAAATTTATTTTCCGCATTAACTTCCAGAAGAGCTCAATCACATAATGAACTATCCAAATGACATGACTTAAACCTGGTGCTTAAACCCAGAACTGTACAGGGATTAAAGCTCAGCATCAGAAAGGATTCACCACAGCTACATGGTTCAAACTTAGAAGTGGTCTAGACATCTATTTCTGATGCCATCCTTTTAAGTAGGTTTAGGTCGGCAGAGCCTTGTTCATGGGTCAAACTTCAAACGTCTAGACTGTATGTATGTAACACTGTCAATCAATATTCTTTCCTTTCTCAACTGGCAGTGTGAGAGCCTAGCACATGAGTGGTTCATCTATGAAGAGCCCTGCTTATGAGACATACACTCTGGACTTAAGGTTCTGATATACCCAAGTCTTACTGTTATAAAAGATGTTACAAACAGGGAACTGTTATTTGGCACTAATATAATAAATTTAAGGAAGGAAGAAAATATCAGGTCCAGCTGGTTGAGAATCAGAGTTTTTTTCTTCTATTTGCATTTCGATTATCAAAAGAGGAGAAGAAAAAAGGGAAAAGCAACAAAAGAAGAAAAAGAGAAGTTTCCCTCTTCACCAGTTTTATGTCCTTACCAATGCACACAGAAGGTCAACTGCTTCCAAGATCAGTTCCTGATGGCCAATGCGGCTGACCCCCAGATCTTCTAGCTCCTGATGTGTAATGCGCAGCAGCTGGTCCCCACTGATCTTCTCCCTCTCAAAGTTCTTAATATACTGCTGCAAACAGTCATCAAGACCTACAAAATAAAAGTATGAAAGACCAGAATGAAAACATGGTCAAACCAAATAAATGTGAAGGGTGGGTTAGAAGCAAGCATTAATGCTACCATGTCACAAATTAAGTCCATTTTAACTCTGAACTAGCCAAATCCTTCGCCCTTTCTTAACCTACATATGGGCTACAGTGAAAAAGAAAATCACTTCATCATACTCGTAGTTGTTAGGTACCTAGTTGAATTTTCCTCAGCACGTACTGGAAATCTTTATCTTTCTTCTGTGCAGTTCTCCTTGCTGACTATTTCATAAAGTATGCCAACAGGCAGGTTCCCCTATTTTCAAATTTATCTGCATCAAATTCTTACTTTCTTACTTAAACTCCACTTCAGAGGAAGAGGTATCCTTCCTATTTAAAGCTAATCTATCTTTCTGTACTCTGTAGTCCCATCTTCTGCCACCTTAACACAACTTCAATAACTAAAAAATTAAATTCTCTCTTTGTTTCAACTATTGCCTATTGACTCATTCTATGTTCAAATCTCTGCCATCTTAAAATAAAACACAAAATCCTTTATTTGATTTTGTTGATCATGTGTGCTCCCCACTAGTCTGTCACCCTCTTTGGATTCAAGCCCTTACCCTTATTTCCTCACCTGTGATGCGCTCCTTAATCCATTATCATTTGGATTTTACTCAAATCCAAAAGTAGAAATCAGGATTACCCAGGGCAATTCATAAGTGATTGGCTAGGCTATAGATTGAGGCGGTTTCAATCACCTGTGAAGTGGCCTGATACAAATGATGAACTGGACTAATAAAACTAACGCTCTAGAAATTTAAGTAAAGAATACCAAGAAAATAAGGCAATTAGCTGAAACTAAGAGGTCCTCATTATGTCAAGGAGGGAGACCAGAGGCTATAAGGGGCTACATTCCAGCTGAAGTTATGGAGGAGCAGAAATTATAAGAGAATAGAAAAAACAGAGATGAAATTAGAAAAGATGTGCAAAAGGAAGTCAAGTTTCCAAACAGAGAGATTATGTAGCCATTGAGAAAGAAAATGAGTCAGTCCTAAAAGCAGTGTGATTCCTGACAGGGTCTAGTATAAGGCCACAGATGTCTTTACTATAGTCTCAAAATTCCTTAAAGTAACTAGAATTACTTTGTAGCCTCCCTATACAATCTTCTTTTTCTTTCATTCTCCATTAGTATGTGTATACTGATGAGGGCTGAAATGTTCTCACTGGATATAGCAATGTGAAAGTCACTAGTGATATTCCTGAGAGTTGTTTTCACAGTGATGGCAATAAGCCAGCATCGAATGGGTTGAGGAGTCTTCAAAGCAGTCAGGCTACGTAAGAGAAGAGAAAAATAAGAGGATATCTAGAGAATATGGGATTGAGAGAGAGAGTCTGTTTTTCTTTCTTAAAGATGTTAGAGACTTGAAGATATTTAAATGTGGATAAGAACTGTATATCTCTATTGAAAAAGGAGGGAAGGAGGAGAAGATGGGTGTAGATGCAGGTAGATTTATAGCCTGTGAGTAAGATGAGGGACTCCCTGCCTAATAACTATAAGACAACATTATGGATCTGTGTGAGAGTTCACTGAGTTATTTGTAAATAAAATAAACATGTAAATTGATACTATTACAAATATGTGCTGAATATCTAAATGGAGTTGGTAGTAATTACAGTGTCACAGAGCTAAACAGGATTTATATTTTAAAAGGAAGACTCTAAAGTCAGGAACAAGGGGAAAAATGAAGGAATTATTTGTCAGACACTGCTGTGAACGCTGGAGATAAAAGGGTAAATAAGACACAGACCTCAAGGAATGCAGTACTTGTATTAGGTATTATTTGTAACCTAGAGATGACTTAAAGTATACAAGAGGATTTCATAGATTATATCCAAATACCATACTATTTTATATAAGGGACATGAGCATTTGCAGAGTTTGGTATCTGTGGGGGTTCCTGGAACCAATCTCCCTCAACTGTATAGGGTGAAAGGTATAGTGGTCCATACAACTTGAGGGTTGGCCAGACAAAGGGGCATCTAAGAATGAAAACAAAAATGGATCAGAGAGGACAAGGTAATAATAAGAAAGGCACGACAGACAAGTGTTAAATGCAACACAGCATTCTAGTAAGATAAGGACTAAAGCACTCTGAGAATTAAGAGATTATCAATGATTTTAGCCAGAACAGTATTAGAATAAGGCAAAGAGAAGCCAGACAGACTACGGGATTGAGCAGTGACTGGGAAATGAGAAAGTGAAGGCCTTGCATGTAGAATATTCCTTTAGAAGATTACAGGATAATGGTGAGGATGGGAAGTAAACAGAAAGATGCCAAGTCGTGTCAAAGAGACTGCTGTTATACCAATTTCAGAAGTGAAGAAATTAAAGCTCAGTGAGATTAGGTAATTCTCTAAGTGTACACAGTAAGTAACTCACAGGCAAACCAATAATTAAAACCTGGTCCCAGAGGATCCAAAATCAAACCTAATTCGACTATATCGGACCATCTCAAGACTGAAAAAACACATCTCAACAATAAAGTGGATTCATACCCTTGCAAAAATAAATGGGTAAAGAGAGATAGAAACATACAGTTATTAAAATGAAAAAGAATAACATACAACAGTGGCTAATGAAATCACACTCTTCTAGACCTACCAGAAAAAAAAAATTAAAACTACCAAGGACTAAAGTCCATGCTAGCATACTCTTGATGAATTCAATACTGTGTAGAGTACCCAGATGGCATTCAATCTGAAGTGGCATTTGAATGAATGAAAGGGGAAACATTGCAAATAGTTTTTAGATACCAATATAATACATGTTGACCTGAGAAACCCCTGTTCTTTATGTTCTTCAAAGGCATCCTTAACAGTCGTCCTCCTACAAGCAAGCAGTCGCTCTATAACAAGTAGCATATGATTTGTTTTCACAAGGATTCTCAAGAAAACCAAATAAAATTTTAAAAGGAAGGATAATTTTCTTCTGGGACTGTTCTCATTTACTCTGTCCTAACTTATTTTGAAAAAGGCTACACTTTCAATAGTTTTATATCAATTCTATATAGAAGAATTGATGCTGAATAATAGTAATACCTTCTATTATTTATGAACTGTATATCATTATCTTGATTTTACAGATAAGAAAATTTAAATTTAGGGACCATGCCTGGGATCCAACAGCTTATAAATGGTAAGGCAAGGTCTAAACCCAAGTCCATTTGCCTCTAAATCCATGCTCTTAAAGACTATGCAGAATTAGGAGTGAGGGAGGAACGGAAAGGATGGTTTCCAAACCTCTAGACTGTTTGTTTGTACCATACCAAAAGTCATTATACCAAAAATGTTTTTCTATTTTCCATTAAAACTTTAAGGTCTTTGTTTAATATATATTTATTTAAATTATGCTTTGCATCAAAAGGCATTTAAGTATATTGTTTACACACACACAATTCAGGAGGGCAATACAAATTCAAAGTAGATGAGGAAAATATGGTTAGTCATAAAGTGGGAGCCAGAATAATGAAAATATAAAAAATTCATACAAATGAAAAACATTAATAGTTTAAAACATTCATTAGATAACAGCAAGCCAGTTTCTCGGAGAAGCCCATCCAGTCTTTTCTTAAATTGATACATAATAACTGTATATACTTATGAGATACATGTGATATTCTGATACATTATACAAAGTATAATGATAAAAACAGGGTAATTGGAATATCCATCACCTCAAACATGCCCATCCATTTTTGACACTAAAGTCAGCAAAAAGGATTTCTTGTGGGAAGAAATCCTTGTGTAATGTAATAAACAACACCTTCAATAAACTCTTTTGATAAACACAACTATAAGTTCCCATTAGACTGTTTCTTACAGCAAGGCTGAAAATACATTTAAAAAAATTACATTGTATTGTAGACCAAATAATAACTGGTTATCATGAAGATAGAAACATGTTTATCTTTGCTGACTTTAAGGATGTTACAGTCTATCAACAGGGTTTATAATTCCAGGGAGAAAATAAGTACATAAGTGAAAACAGGCCCCCACAGTAGGAAAGAGCATCAGGGGCAGGGATGTGCAGGGGGAGAAGACCAGGAAGAGATTGACAGCTGAGGCCAAGATTTAGCCATGGTGAAGGTTAGGAAATTTCTTGAAGGCACAGGAAAGAAGGTCCAGGGTGACTGAGGGAAACCCATGCAGTAGCTGCTGATCCTGCTGGACCTATGGCTGGGCACCATGGGATTAGGCGGGGCTGAGCTCCTAAAGGCCTAGCAGCAGGGCCTGCAGGTACCCTGGGGAAATTCCATAAGCATCCACTTATGCAGTGAGCCTTCAGGGAGACCAATATGAGCAGTGCTATGGATACACTCTCCCCAGCAGGGAACTTTGTGGGGCTAGAATTTAAGCTCCAGTATATAAATTTCTGCAAGAAGAATCCTGAGTGCAAAGTCAAGTCCAGTGGAAAGAAGCAGAAATGCCTGGCCTACATCAAACTTGAGGATGAAGTTTTGGGCCAGATGGTCCATTGCCCCATACAGATGCAGGATTGACAGGAGCCTGAAAAGCACCAGGAGATCCAGTGCAGTAGAGTGGAGCAAGGTAGCCATGACCCTCACAGCTACTACTTCCCTGGACAATTTGCCTTCTTTTCAAGGCCCTGCTCCCCAGCACAGAACCCTGGACTGAATTTTATCATGCTCCCCAGACAGCTGCACGTGGTAACCAGTGGAATACCCTGCCCTCCTAGTGATGATCCCATTATATCCCAAGCTAATAAAACTACTCTCCAAAAAACAAAGAAAAAAATAAATATAAAATAAAAAAAAGATTACCATAGAATTCAGCAATTCCACTTCAGGCTACATACCCAAACAAAATGAAAGCAGATATTTGAAGAGATAGTTGTACACCTATGTTCATAAAAGCATTATTCACAATAGGCGAGAGGTGGAAGCAACCCAAGTGTCCACTGATGTATAAGTAGATAAAGAAAATGTTGGAGGAGGTGGAGCAAGATGGTAGAACAGAAGGCTCCACCAATTGCCTTCCCTAGCCCCCCGCAAGGACACCAATTTAATAATTATCTACACAAAAAAGCACCCTCATAGGAACCAAACATCAGGTGAGCACTCACAGTACCCAGTTTTAACTTCGCATCACTGAAAAAGGCACTGAAAACCTTAAAAAAAAAAAAAAAAAAACCATCTTAAATCAGTGATGCCACACCTTCCTGAAGCCCAGGCAGTGGTAGCGTGGTGACTAGAGTGTTTCTTTGTGCTGGAGGGAGAGCACAGCAATTGTGAGGCATTGAACTTGCTGCTGTCCTGATAGAGCAGAAAGGAAAACAAGACCAAACTCAGCTGATGCCCACCCACAGAGGGAGCATTTAAACCAGCCCTAGCCAGAGCGGAATCATCAATCCTGGCAGTTGGAACCTGAGTTCCCACAAACCTGGACACCATGGGCTAAAGTGCTATGAGGATTTAAATAAATAAACTTGAAACACAGTCTAGGCCACAAGGACTGCAAATCCTAGGAGAGTTCTAATGCTGAACAGGGCCCAGAGACAGTGGATAGGGGTGACACACAACATACTAAAACACCAGCCAGGGTGGCCAAGAGAGTGCTGGTATTATCTCTTCCCTAACCCCAGGCTTTACAGCTCATGGCTCCAAAAGAGACTCCTTCCTTCCGCTTGAGGAGAAAACAGGGAAAACTTTATCTTGCATCTTGGATACTAGCTTAGCCATGGCAGGATAGGGCACTGGTCAGAGTCATGAGGGCCCCTTTCCAGGCCCAAGCTCCTGGATGACATTCCTAGACATACCCTGGTCCAGAAGGGAATGACCCCATCCTGGCACCATTCATCACCAGCTAACTGAAGAGCCCTTGGGCCCTGAAAAAGCAGCAATGATACCCAAGTACTAAATCAAGGGCCCTGTGTGAGACTGTGAGACTTGTTGGCTTCAGGTGAGACCCAGCACATCTGGAGCTGCGGTTGACTACGGGGCACAATTCCTTCTGCTTCAAAAAAGCAGAAGAAAAAGGAAAGGGGACTTTGTCTTGTACCTTAGGTACCAGCTCATGCATAGGGGGCTAGAGAACAAAGCAGGTTCTTGGGGTCCACAATTCTAGGACTTGGCTCTTGGATGGATGGCATTTCTGGACCTGCCCTGGGCCAGAGGGGAGCCCACTGTCCTTGAAGGGTGAGGCCCAGGCCAGGCAGCATTCGCTACAAGCTGATTGAAGAGACCTCAGGCCTTAAGGAAACAGCAGTGGTAGTTTGGCACTACTTACCATGGTTTTGTGGTGACAGTGGCCATGGGGTGGGGATCCTCTGCCTTTGGAAAGGGGAGAGAAGAGTGGGAAGAACTACATCTTGTGGTTTGAGTGTCAGATCAGCCACAGTACAACAGAACACCAGGTGCACTTCTAAGGTTTTAAATGCTAGTCCCTGGCTCCCAGACAGCACCTCTGGACCCACCCAGGGCCTGGGGGAAATTGCTGCCCTGAAGGGAAGAACACAAGCCCACTGGCTTTGGCATTTGCTGACTGTAGAGCCTCAGGGTCTTGAGAGAACATAAGCAGTAGCCAGGGAGGGGTTAAAGCAGGACTTGAGCAAGATGTAGTGCTGTGTTGGCTTCAGGTATGACCCAGCACAGTCATGGTGGTGGTGGCCACAAGGGTGCTTGTCTCACTCCACCCACAGCTTCAGGTGGCTCACAACAGAGTGAGAGACTGTTTATTTGGGAGACAGTAAGGGAAGAGAACAAAAGTCTCTGCCAGGTAATCCAGAGAATTATCCCAGATCTTGTCCAAGATCATCAAGGAGGCCTCTATGAGTCTGTAAGAAGCACAGCATCACCGGGCTTGGGGTGCTCCCTGAGGCAGATACAGCTTAGATCATAACACCTAAGTCCTTTTGAATATCTGGAATGCCTTCCCAAGAAGGATGGGTACAAACAAGTCTTGGCTGCAAAAACTCTAATAAATTCCTAACTTTTCAATGCCCAGCAACAGATAAACATCTACAAGTATTAGGACAATTCAGGAAAACATAACCTCATCAAATGAACGAAATAAGGCACCAGGTACCAATCCTGGAAAAACAAAAGATATGTGACATTTCAGGTAGAGAATTCAAAATAGCTATTTTGAGGAAACTTAAAGAAATTTCAAGATAACACAGAGAAGGAATTCAGAATTCTATCAGATAAATTTAACAAAGAGATTGAAATAATCTAAAAGAATCAAGCAGAAATACTGGAGCTGAAAAATGCAATTGTCATACTGAAAAATGCATCAGAGTCTTTTAACAGCAGATTTGGTCAAGCAGAACAAAGAATTCGTGAGCTTGAAGACTGGCTATTTGAAAATGCACAGTCAGAAGAGATTAAAACAAGAATAAAAAACAATTAACCATGCCTACAGGCACCTCAAAAGGGAATATATAAGAGTTATTGCCCTTAATCAGGAGGTAGAGGAAAAAGTCAGGGGTAGAAGGTTTATTGAAAGGAATAATAACAGAGAACTTCCCAAACCTAGAGAAATACATCGATACCTAAGTACAAGAAGGTTATAGAACAGCAAGCAGATTTAACCCAAAGACAATATTAGATAAATTTAACAAAGAGATTGAAATAATTTAAAAGAATCAAGCAGAAATACTGGAGCTGAAAAACACAATTGTCATACTGAAAAATGCATCAGAGTCTTTTAACAGGGATTATTAAATGCCTTGACTACCTCAAGTCCAAAAGTCAAGGATAAAGGATCCTCAAAGCAACAAGAGAACACAAACAAACAACATACAATGGAGCTCCAATAGATCTGATGACAGAGTTTTCGGTGGAAAACTTATAGGCCAGCAGAGAGTGGCATGACATATTTAAAGTGATGAAGGAAAAAACTTTTACCCTAGAAGAGTATAAACAGCAAAAATATTCTTCAAACATGAGGGAGAAATAAAGACTTTTCCAAACAAAAGCTGTGGAATTTCCTCAACATGAGACCTGTCCTGCAAGAAATGCTAAAGGAAGTACTTCAATCAGAAAGAAAAGGACATTTATGAGCAATAACTAGTCATCTAAAGGTAAAAAACTTACTGGCAATAGTAACCACACAAAAAAAACACAGAATATTATACCAACACTGTAATTGTGGCGTGTAAATTCCTTTTATCCTAAGCAGAAAGACTAAACAATGAACCAATCAAAAATAATAACTACAACAGCTTTTCAAGACATAGACAGTACAATAAGATCTAAATAGAAACAACAAAAAGTTAAATAGTGGGAGTATGAAGTTGAGGCATAGAGTTTTTATTACTTTTCTTTTTGCTTGTTTGTTTGTTAGTGCAAACAGTGTTAAGTTCTCATCAGCTTAAAATAATGGTTATTAAGATAGTATTTGCAAGGCTCATGGGAACCTCAAACCAAGAAACTAAATCATTTCAACAGAGAAAATCACTTTCACTAAAAGGAAGATAGAACAGAAAGAAAGAAAGAAGGAAGAGACCATAAAACAACCAGAAAACAAATAACAAAATGGCAGGAGGAAGTCTTTACTTATCAACAGTAACACTGAATACAAATGGACTAAACTCTCCAATAAAAAGTCATAGAGTGGCTGCATAAATTTAAAAACAAAACAAAACAAAACACAGTGATTTGTTGCCTATAAGAAACTTCACCTATAAAGACACACATAGACTGAAAGTAAAGGAATGGAAAAGATATTCCAAGCCAATGGAAACCCAAAAAGAGCAGGAGTAGCTATACTCATATCAGGAAAAATAGATTTCAAGACAAAATCTATAAAAAGAGGCAAAATAATAGAATGATAAAGGGGCCAATTCAACAAGAGAATTTCAAATATATATGCAAACAGCACTGGAGAACTCAAATATATAAAGCAAATATCAAATGAAGCTAAAGAGAGAGAGAACCCCCAATATAATAATAGCTGGAGACTTCAACACCCCACTTTCAGCATTTGACAGATATTCCAGACAGAAATTAACCAAGAAACGTTGGAGTTTATCTACACTATAGAACAAATGGACCTAACAGACATGTATAGAATATTTCATCCAAAGACTGCAGAATACGCATTCTTTTCCTCAGCAAATGGATCATTCTCAAAGACAGACCATGTTAGGTTACAAAACAAGCCTTAAAACATTCAAAAAAACTAAAATCCTCTCAAGCATCTTCTCTGACTACAAAAGAATAAAACTAGAAATTGATGACAAGAGGAATTTTGGAAACTACACGAATACATGAAAATTGAACAATACATTTCCAAATGACAAGTGGATCAATGAAGAAATTAGGAAGGAAATTGAAAACTTTCTTGAAACAAATGATAATGAAAACACAACATACAAAAACCTATGGGATATAGCAAAAGCAGTACTAAGAGGGAAATTTATAGTTATATGTGCTTACCTCAAAAAAGAAGAAAAACTTCAAATAAACAACCTAACAATGCATCTTAAAGAGCTAGAAAAGAGAGCAAACCAAAACCAAAATACTGGAAGAGATAATAAAGATAAGACCATAGACAAATGAAATTGAAATGAAGCAACACAAAAGAGCAATAAAACAAAAAATTCGCATTTTGAAAAGTTAAAGTTGACAAACCTTTGGCTAGACTAAGAAAATAAGAAAGACGACCCAAATAAATAAAATCAGAGGTAAAAACGGACACATTACACTTGATACTGCAGAAATTCAAAGGATCATTAGTGGCTACTATGAGAAACTACATGCTGATAAACTGGAAAATCTTGAAGAAATGAGCAAATTTCTAGACAAAAACAACCTACCAAGATTGAACCATAAAGAAATCCAAAACTTGAATAGGCCAATAACAAGTAAGGAGATTGAAGCCATAATAAAAAGTCTCACAGTAAAGAAAAGCCTGGGAGCTAATGGCTTCACAGGTGAACTCTACCAAATATTTAAAGGAGAACTAATACCAATCTGACCCAAACTATTCTGAAAAATAGAAGAGAATACTGCCAAACTCATTACATGAGGCAAGTATTACCCTGATACCAAAACCAAAGACACATTGAAAAAAGAAAACTACAGGCCAATATATCTGATGAATATTGATGCAAAAAACCTCAACAAAATACTAGCAACTGAATACAGTAATATTACTTTAAAACGATCATTCATCATGACCAAGTATTTATCCCTGGGATGCAAGACTTGTTCAACATATGCAAATCAATCAATGTGGTACATCGTATCTACAGAATAACGAACAAAAACCATCTGATCATTTCATTTGATGCTGAAAAAGCATTTAATAAAATTCAACATCACTTCATGATAAAAACCCCCAAAAAACTGAGTATAGAAGGAACATACCTTAACATAATAAATGCCATATATGGCAGTCCCACAGCTAGTATCATAATGAATAGGGAAAAACTGAAAGCCTTTCCTTCAAGATCTGGAACACGACAAAGATGCCCACTGCCACCACTGTTATTCAACATAGTACTGGAAGTCCTAGCTAGAGCAGCCAGGCAAGAGAAATAAATAAATGGCATCCAAATTGGAAAGGAAGAAGTCAAATTATTCTTCATATATATATATATATGTGTGTGTGTGTGTGTGTGTGTGTGTGTGTGTGTGTGTATATATGTATATATGTATTGTATATATGTATATACATATCATATATATATAATACTTTAAGTTCTAGGGTACATGTGCACAACGTGCAGGTTTGTTACATATGTATACATGTGCCATGTTGGTGTGCTGCACCCATTAACTCGTCATTTACATTAGGTATATCTCCTAATGCTATCCCTCCCCCCTCCCCCCACCCCACAACAGGCCCTGGTGTGTGATGTTCCCCTTCCTGTGTTCGGAAACCATCATTCTCAGCAAACTATCACAAGGACAAAAAACCAAACACCGCATGTTCTCACTCATAGGTGGGAATTGAACAATGAGAAGTCAAATTATTCTTATTTGCTGATGAGATGATCTTATATTTAGAAAAACCTAAAGAATCCACAAAAGAACTATTAGAAGTGATAAATTCAGTAAAGTTACAGGATACAAAATTAACACACAAAAATCAGTAGCATTTCTACATGCCAACAGTCAACAACCTGAAAGAGAAAATAAAGTAATTTAATTTATAATAGCCCCACATAAAGTTAAACACCTAGGAATCAACTTAACCAAAGAAGTGAAAGATCTCTACAATGAAAACTATAAAACACTGATGCAAGAAATGGAAGAAACCACCAAAAAATGGAAAGATATTTCATGTTCATGGATTGGAAGAATGAATATTTTTTAAAATGTCCATATTACTCAAAGCAATCTACAGATTCAATGCAATCCCTATCAAAATACCAATGACATTCTTCACAGAAATAGAAAAAAGACCATCCTAAAATGTATATGGAATCACAAAAGACCCAGAATAGCCAAAGCTATCCTAAGCAAAAAGAACACAACTGGAGGAATCACAGAACTGACTTCAAATTATACTACTGAGGTATAGTAAACAAGACAGCATGGTGCTGGCATAAAAAGAGACACAGAGACCAGTGGAACAGAACAGAGTACACAGAAAAAAATCCACACACCCACAGTGCACTCATTTTCGACAAAAGTGCCAAGGACATACACTGGAGAAGGCCAGTCTCTTTAATAAATGGTTATGGGAAAACTGGATATCCATGGGCAGAAGAAAGAAACTAGATCTGTATCTCCTGCTATATACAAAATTCAAAATTGATTAAAGACTTAAAGACCTCAAACTATGAAACTACTACCAGAAAACATTGCAGAAGCTCTCCAGGACACTGGTCTTGGCAAAGATTTCTTGAGTAATACCCCACAATCACAGGCAACCAAAGCAAAAATGAACAAATGGGGTCCTTTGCTTCTGCACAGCAAAGGAAACAGTCAACAAAGTGAAGAGACAACCCACAAAATGGGAGAACATATTTGCAAGCTACCCACCTGACAAGGGATTAACAACCAGAATATGTAAGGAGCTCAAACAACTCCATAGGAAAAAAAAAAATCTAATAATCTGGTTAAAAATGGGCAAAAGATTTGAATAGGCAGTTCTCAAAAGACATACAAACGGCCATAAGGTATATGAAAAGGTATGCAGCGTCACTGACCATCACAGAAATGCAAAGAAAAACTACAATGAGATAGCATCTCACCCCAGTTAAAATGGCTTATATCCAAAAGACAAGCAGTAACAAATCCTGGTGAGGATGTGGAGAAAAGGCAACCCTCGTATACTGTTGGTGGGAATGTAAATTAGTACAACCACTATGGAGAATAGTTTAGTGGTTCCTCAAAAAACTAAAAACAGAGCTGCCACATGATCCAGCAATCCTACTGCTGGGTATACACCCCAAAGAAAGGAAATCAGGATATCAGTAAGATATCTGCACTGGGTCCCAGAAGACCCAGTGGCTATTCTGGGTCTTTCGTGGTTCCATATGCATTTTAGGATTTTTTTTTTCTATTTCTGTGAAGAATGTCATTGGTATTTTGATAGGGATTTGTTGCAGTTCTGCAGTTTGTTGCAGTTCTGTTCACAATAGCCAAGATCTTGAAGCAACTTGTGTCCATCAACAGGTGAATAAAGAAAATGTGGTACATATACACAATGGAGTAATATTCAGCCATAAAAAAGAATGAGATCCTGTCATTTGCAACGACATGGTTGGAACTGGAGATCATTATGTCAAGTGAAATAAGCTAGGCACAGAAAGACAAATATCAAATGTTCTCACTTATTTGTGGGATCTAAAAATTAAACAGAGTAGAAGGATGGTTACCAAAGGGAGGGAAGGCTAGTGGTGTGGGGAGGTGAGGGGAAGGTGGAGAAGGTTAATACTTACAAAAATATATTTAGAAAGAATGAATAAGTTCATTCTTTTTGACAGCAAATAGTAGAGTCACTCAGTCGACTGACTATAGTGAATAATTTAATTGTACATTTTAATATAACTAAAATAATATAGTTATATTGTTTGTAACACAAAGGATAAATGCTTGAGAGGATGGATACCCCATTCTCCATGATGTGATTATTTCACATTGCATGCCTGTATCAAAACATCTCATGTACCCCATATATACACACCTACTATGTACCCATAAAAATTAAAAATATTTTTTAAATGTTGTATACACATTTTAAAATGTGTATACATTTTTATTCAGCCTTAAAAAGAAAGTGCTGATACATGGTACTGCATGGATCAACCCTGAAGACATTATGCTAAGTGAAATAAGCCATTCACAAAAGGACAGATACTGTATGATTCCACTTATATGAGGCATGCAGTCGTCATGCAGTCGTCAAATTCAGAGACAGAAAGTAGAATGGGGCTGCCAGAGGCTGAGGGGAGGAATAATAGGGATTGTTGTTTAATGAGTAAAGAGTTTCAGTTTTGCAAGATGAAAAGAATTCTGTGAATGGATGCTGAGGTCAGTAGCACAAAAATGTGAATGTACTTAATGCCAGTGAACTGTACACTTAAAGATGGTTAAGATAGTACGTTTGATGATATGTGCATTTTACACTTAAAAATGCAATGGTTAAAATGGCAAATTTTATGTTATCTATATTTTACTATAATAAGAAGTACAAATTAACCAACAGATTAACCTTAAATAGCCTAAATTTGCTCCTTTCAAATTTTAATTAGACCTAAGCATTTTGGGAGGCATATGGGTATGTGAAAGCCACAGCTGTAAGTTACTATTTTACATCTGATTACGAATGCTATGTCCACCTATGTGTAATCAAACTTCACTAATAGATATACAATTTTCTTTTCTATTGAATACAAAGAAACCACTAGTGGCAATGATTTGCTAAATTTAGCATATTCTACATAGAAGTCATCAGTATGATGTCTTACCCAATCCTAATTCACCATGAAAAAATTGCCTAATCATGATGGGACTTAACACGGCTATCTTTTTAAATATTTCCATTTAATATCTAAGCAATATTGAGTGAGGACATGCTGAAAATTGTACACTAGAAATATCAAGGGAAAAAAGAATTTTGTATCTAAATGACATCTAGATGAATTTTAAAGTAATTCGTGTCATGAAGAATTAGTCAGTCATCTTTGCCAAGGTGCCAGGAGAAACTATCTTCTCCAAGGAGGACTTGCCCACGGGCAAGAGGAGACAGTCTTCCAGGTGGGAGGTAAGAGGAAGTGGTAATGAGAACAATGCTGGAGACTTGCCATTGTAAAGGGCAAACTTGTTGATCCAACTTTACTTCTGAGGACACGTCTAATCTTGGCTTATCTCAGTCCCAGGCTTCCCTAATGCTCCTGATATTTTTAGATTTAAACTAGGTTCCAAAGTCAATAACTGCCTGTTCTTTATTCTTCTACAACACAGACTTCTATATGATTTTCCTAAGGAATGCTTCCCTTCCTGTCCCTAGTATCAGGATGCTCATCTCACTGCTTTTCTAATTCCTGATACCAACTTTTATTTATTAATTGAACAAATATTTGTTGAATGCCTATTTTTGAGCCAGGCATTATTCTAGGGAGTAAAGAAGAAAAGTGAGCAGAAACGGACATGGCCCCTGCTTTCACTGAGGTAATAGTTTATTGAGAGAGAATCATGTTAAGTAAGTAATCACACAAACAACCCTAACAAGTAATTGAAGGAAAGTAAAGGTACCTGGCATGGTGCTCCAGGAGCCCATAATATGGTGATTTGACCATGTCAGAGAGATCAGGAGTAAGTTTTCTGGGAGAAGTGTGGCAAGAACTGAGGTCTAGAGATGACTGGGAGTTAACTAGCCAAAGAGGGAGGAAAGAGTATTAGACCCTGAAAACAGCAAGGACTCAGCAGCTTGGAGACAGGAGTGAGAGTATGAGGCACTGAAAGAAGGCCACCATGACTGAAGGCTGTGTTCAGACTCACGTTCTGAAAAACTCTTCTCTGGTTTCAACGTGTAGAACAGTGACTTGTGGCCAGTTTGCCTTTTGCCGCAGAAAGGATCATCTTTGGTTGTAATCTTCGTGCTTGGCATCTCCACTTGGTTCGCTATTTTAGCTATGCAAGTTGAAGCTTTTCTACACATGATCTTTCTTTGGCCATTTTATTCCTCTACGCCTATCTAAAATTCCTCTTACTCTCCTCTTAGTAAGGGAAGTTAAGGAAAAGATCTACAAGTAGAACTTATTTCATACATTATTTAGAACTATATCCATTGTCTCCTGAAAAAGAATTCAAAATCAACAGAAAAATGTGGTAAAAGGTAAATTACCTTCAAAAGTGGTAATTCCAGAAAAAACTGTATAGTAATATAGAGGTAAAAAAACTGCCATTAGAAGTTACAGCCGATCATATTAATTCAGACATATGCATCTTATTAAATATGACTGAAATAATCTCCACAAAAGAAAAGTTTAGTATAAAAGTACTGCAGAAACAAAGGGCACCATCTACTATTAAACTTAATCTAAATATATCCCCTGTGATCCTTCCCTAATACAAAACAAATCTTATTCATCATTTCAAATCCACACACACACACACACAAACACACACACACAAACACACATTTGCCCACTATAAATGAATGTCAGCATTATTAACTACTCAATAAGTTTACAGAGTCAAACACACACACACACACACACACACACAATCCTTTGGTGCTTTAGAATTTTTTGACTCTTAAAACGTGTTCTAAAATACTAGGCTAACTGAAATACTTAGTCAACATGTACTCTCCATCTAATCACTAAACTATCATTACTTTTATTGAATATTAAAGTTAAAATAAAGCTATGAATGTTAGTATCTTATCACAAGTAAGGATTTAATGTTAGGATAAAAAGAATCCTACATTCGTACAACAGCCATTTCTGATCATGTTTCCTAAAAATAATATAAGTGGTGATACTCAATTTTTTGTTTTGCTTTATATATCAGAATCAATTTGTAACATAGCATAATGAAATTAAAAGCCAAATAATTTCTTTTCACCTATGAAGTAAATTTTACTTAACCCAGGAAAACAGCCTATTTTGAAGGCCCTGTTTTATTCTCCTAAAATTTATAAGACTTTCTCAAAATAATTCCAATTTTATTTTAAAATTATAAATTAATTACAAATTTCTAATTACTACTCAAAACAATGTCAGTTTTCCATTGCTTCTTAAATTTTATGTGCATATAAAACATCTGGGGATCTGATTAAACTGTAGTAAATTTTGATTTAGTTGGAGTGTGGCCTGAGATTTTGTATTTCTAACAAGCTCCAAAATATTCACATTACTAGAGCAACACTTGTCAAAGGCAAAAAGAGACTTGATTTTTTTCAATAAGTGATGAAGTCATCAAATAGGACAATAATGATAATTGGTTATACACACACACACACACACACACACACACACACAGACACAATTAGGCTTATGTTTCTAGATTATTTAGCTATGCCGTTTTTGTAATTGCCAGCCCCAATTAGAAAATATATAATGATACCCAAGAATTAACAAATATTTCTCAGACATCTATAGACAACAAAGGAACTGTAAGCTAGACAAATTATTACAACTAAATGGAGAGAAAAAGTCTATTCCAAAATAATTTTAATTATGTTTATTTGAATAAATCCCTAATTTCATGTTTTATGGATACTTAGAGAACTTCCTTATTTTCCCAAAAGTGAAGCCTGTGGAGAAATTCACCAGGCTAAACGAAAAATTAGCCTCAACCTTCACAATACTGTTATTAATTCTAAAAGAATGTTGCAGAAGCTCTATCAAAAAAGAAACCACAAACAAGTTCATGTTCCTTATCAAATATTTCTCAAAGAACTCTGAAAATATGTATTCTAATATTTTTTGTAATTCCTCTCTGCTTAGCAAAATTCTCCTGAGTTATGACAGCATTTTACTATGATCAATGTTCATTAAGGAAGTGAGGTTTCTCCTTTCACCAATCAAACTGGAAGATGTCAGTTGTAATCACTGCTTTCCCTTGGTTCCCTCTAGACTCCAAATTTTACAAGTGGATAGGAATCAGAAGAAATACCTGAAACTCAGAAAGGAAGGAGCAAAAACTTCTGCAGATGCATTTGAATCAGGATGGTGGGGAGAGTGGATAGCAAACCTTGACTAATACTGTGACTAAGAAACAGTCTGACAGACATATATATATATATATATATATATATATATATATATATATATATATATATAATTTTTTCATTTTTTATGTAAGGTTTTCTTTTATTTAAAAGATCATTCACAAAATACCATATCCATAGATTTACTTTCTGTCATATAGCTGAATGTGTTAAGTGTTTGGAATTCCATTCTTACATTTAAAAGTCAAATGGATTGCCCAGAACCTGTACTCATCTCTTACCACAGAGACATTTCTTCTCCAGTCACAAATTAATCTCCATAACATCTGTTTCTTAGCACAGTGTAAATTCCTTGCCAGGAATTTAAGAACTAACTTTTAGATGATATTTGTAAAGTCCAAGACATGATTTAACACCACATTCATATTGTTGGCAACCCAACAGTTAAAGGAGCTTAATGTTCTTACGATTCTCCTGTGATTACATTACTGCTGAAAAACCTAGTTTCATAGATAGGAGTCTATAAGAGGACAAAAATATATGGACATCATCTTCACTTAGGTCTCAGAATTAAAAAAAAACTAACATGATATGTAATTGAAGGTCCTTAGATACTGATGTCATATGAGAAGACAAATCTTTTTTAGTGACTTCACAAGACATAAAAGGGTAAACAAAAGCTCTTCTCCTAGGGAAAGGAGACTAAGCAAGACAAAAAAGAACGTGGAGTGGAGTGGAGTGGAGGTTGGGGGAGGTTAGATAAGGGCAAAGATCCAACACATGTAATGACTTTATATTATGTAAAGCACTATCCAAGAAACTTCTGAGCTTGGCTCAACAAGTGTATTTTCACTCACTTTCCTAGGAAATTTTGGTCACTGCCTGAAAGCAGCTGTGCAAACAATCTTTTAGTAAGCTCTCCGCTGGTGTGTTTCAATGAGAAGAACCTGATGGATGCAAGATCTGTATACATATAAATACACTACCATTGCCTGCTACACAGAATTATACTCAAGACAGCTGTAAATCAACCTGTGAAAGAAACCAACAACTCAGTGAGAGTCATCCTGAGTAGCCACAGGTTAATGGGAATTTCCTGCACTATATATTGCAAATATTATAAATATAAAAAGTAAAAGCTAATGTTGATAAGAATTGCAAATAATCATTGTGAAAGGTATAGAAAATATTGGTAGACATTTCTAAATTAATGTATATGGGAAAGATGAATATTATCTTTCTATTTAAAATGCATAGTTGGATCAAAATGCTCCTTTCCCAAAGGCAACAGTTCACTACTCATGATAACTTTAAACAGCAGGCTACTGAATTCAAGATATTTTTCTAGAAATGGAAAAAATTTCTAAGGATCCTAGAGTGAATAAGAACTTTTTATTTTAAAAAAGAAAATAAGAAATATACTAAAATATGTAACAACATAAGAAAATCTACAATTACTTTTTATTGTCAGCAGCCTCCCAGGAAACATGTTCTTTTGGTTATAGCACCACAGATTAAAAATTTAAGAAGTGTGTGATTCATTCAATAATGATAAAGGAAACTTTAAGTTCCTGTTACGTTTTATACACTTTACTTATGAACAAAGCGCTCTGATCTTGACCTAGCAGTGCTATAATCCAAAAAAGGTAAAGAATTCAAAATGGAACCTTGCATTTCTATTCAAAACTGAGTCATGTCATCCATGGAAAATTTTATATATAAAAGAGCTGATTTCATTACTTTTCATGACAATCCCAAATCTTGCCAAGAAGGAGGGAAAAACAACCAAAATTTCTGCTTGAATAGGAGGGGGTGAGGGGTTCTTGATAATCTTGTGAGAACACAATAGAAAAAGAAAAAGAAACTAGAGAATAATAAAAAGCATAGCATAGGAAACAGAATAGCTGATCTTGAGAAACTAGTATTCTCTGGAAGAAATATAGCCCAGGTACATCTGTCTTAACTACCAAAGGTTCTACTATGGCATCTATTCTCCAACACATAGAGTATATTCCAACCTTGAGGTTAACAAGTTCAACTTTGGGCAGTTAATGAATACTTAATTAGGAGACATGTTTTCTGTAATAAAATTTATTTCTTTTGTCCTTCACTTCAACCTTCTAATAATTCCTGAGTGCAACATTAACTACAGTTTTATATTTGCTTCCAAACATCTTACAGCATTAAGATTTATTTTAGAAATAATATAGTTCTAATCTATATTCCAAAACCAAAAGCCTTAACCTAGTCTGTCAAATTGGAGAAGAGTACTGTTACTCTATGACTATGACCTACTAATGCCACCAAATCACCAACTGTTACAATGAGGAGCAGAATCAATGAAACTTTTCAACTTATGGTTGTTTCATGGTTTAATTGTTAAGAAAAAAAGAAGACAGCATAAAGAACAACTTTCGTTTTTTAAAAAACAGGACTTACATTAGCTAACGAAATAAAAATATTTCCTTTAAATATGTACAGGGAAAGTGATCTGTGATTTGGCAACAGGATTAATATTCAGAAGACCTCAAGAAAATTACAAACTTGTATTTCAAATCATGATTTCTACAAACTAAAGAGACATGATATTGACTCCCCTACTCCTACCTCTTCTGATCTTGACAGAAAGGAATGGAGAGGGGAGATCATAAACTTTATGGAATACTTTTTGGCCCAGCTAGGAGTGGTCCAGTGGTCATATCTCTCAATTTCTTTATTCTCAGAAGCTTACTTTATGAATTTCCAAAGGAATGCATGAAACAGTTTTCAGAAAATTTCTAAATAATGGAGATACATAGTTAGACTCCTGAGCAGTTCAATAAAAATGTTAATCATATCATCAGTACATATATATATAAACTGCTACCAGCTCAAAACAGAATTAGATGTTTTATGGCTAAAACTACATTTTTATTACAAGATCTGAAAGCAAGTTACTTGGTAAACTAAGTCACCAAGTTCAAATAAAAGATGAAAACTCATCCTCTACATCAGTAGTCCCCAACCTTTTTGGCCCCAGGGACCGGCTTTGTGGAAGATACTTTTTCTGTGGGCAATGGGGGGATGGTTTCAGGATGAAACTGTTCCACCTCAGATCATCAGGCATTATATTCTCATAAGAAGTGCACAACCTAGATCCCTCACATGCTCAGTGCACAACACAGTGTGCATTCCTATGAGAATCTAAAATGGCACCGGTCATCTGATAGGAGGCAGAACTCAGACTGTAGTGCTCGTTCATCAGCCACACACCTCCTGCTGTGCCGCCCATTTTCCTAACAGGCCATGAACCAGTACAGTTTCATAGCCCAAGGGCTGGGGACCCTGGGCCTGCTCTGTAGAGTCTATATGCTACTCTGCTATGTAGAATCTACACGCTACTCTGCTATGTAGAATCTACACAGCAAGCTAAACCCTTAAGCCTCAGGAATCATGAATGATCATTTCCTAAAACTAACTTTTCTGAACCGTTAGGATTTTATATAAATATATTTATTTTTAATTATAAAACTTAATTACAAATTTGAAAGTTAATATATCAATTAACCAGACCTTGTCAAATGCAGAGCACATTTAGAACAATTCAAAATCATCATAATCAATATAATAGTGAAACTCAAGCAGCATTCTTACTAACTAAAGATCAAGAATATTCAACATTGAGCAGTGGTCCTAGCAAACGCAGACAGGGAAGAAAAAGAATTATGGATATTAGATGATAAAAAACTATCAACATATGCATAATATTATTTACTTAGAAATACCAAGAAAATCAACCAAAGAAAATTTACCAAGAAAATCAACTGAAAAACACAGAACAATAAGCAAGTTTATTAAGGTAGTCAAATACAAGAGCAGTATTCAATAACTTCCCCATACTCAGCAAAGCCAATTAGAAAATGTAATGAAAAAAATTCTATTCACAATAGGTAAAAAACCAATAAACTAGGAATAAACCTAAAGAGAAATGTAGATGACATTTATTTTTTAAAAAGCTATCAAATTCCACTGAAGGATATAAAAGAAGATCCAAATAAGTAAGAAAGTATAGCACATTCCTGGATAAGAATGCCCAATAGTATATGGATATTAATTTTCTCTAAATTAACCTATAAATTCAATGAAATCCTAGTCAAGATCCTAATGAGATTATTTTTGTGTGAGCCTTGACAAACTGAACCTAAATTCCACATGAAAGGAAAAATGGGCAGTAATCAAGAAATATTTGAAAAAGTAAAACATGGGGGTGAGGAAACTTGCCATTCAGATAGCAAACATTCTATAAAGTAACAATAATTCAAAATTCCAATGAAATAGAAAATGGATAAATATATCCAAAAAGGAAGAATCCAGAAACAGACCTATGCATTTGTATTTTAGTTTACATAATTGAGGTTTATCATTTTGATTTTTTATAAAGTTAGCATTTCAAATAAGTGAGGGGAAAATTACCCCATAAGTTGTGTTAGAACGCCTGGCTCTCCATCTGGGAAAAAAGTAATGTCAGATCCTCTACTTTATATTGTACTTTTTTTTTTTTTTTTTTTTTTTGAGACAGAGTTTTGCTCTTGTTTCCCAGGCTGGAGTACAGTGGCACACTCTTGGCTCACTCCAACCTCTGACTCCCGGCTTAAGGAGATTCTCCTGCCTCAGCCTCCCAAGCAGCTGGGATTACAGACACGCATCACCATGCCCGACTAGTTTTTGTATTTTCAGTAGAGACAGGGTTTCACCATTTTGGCCAGGCTGGTCTCAAACTCCTGACTTCAAATGATCCGCCCGCCTCAGCCTCCCAAAGTGCTAGGGTTACAGGTGTGAGCCACCATGCCTGGCCAGAATATACTGCACATTTTTTTAAATTACATAATAAAAAGCTAACTAAAGGTTTTAAGAAATGAATATATTGGGACAATATACAGGAAAAGATTTATATAATATAGGGATGGAAAATGTCTTCCCAAGCAAGATACAACGAGTAGCCACAAAAGGGAAAAAATGACAGACAGAACATTAAATTTTAAATATCGTCCTGTTAAAAGACACTTAGGGGACTTTTTAAAAACTGTACACACATAAACCCTAGCTTCTGATAAAATCTCATCATCCCCCTTTCTCCTGCTTTACTCCTTAAGAAGTTAGGCTTTAGTGAGCCACTGTTTCTTATAGAAGCATCTTGCATCTCTCCTCTATGGATCCCAGAATAGGCTATTTTTTTTCTTCAAAGCAAATTCTATGAAAGGTAAGTGATTAGGTACACTGGATCTTTCAACTAATTAAGCTATTCTTGCAATTTTGTTTACTTAGCTACATATTGCTGCATGTTTCTATTTATGAAAATAGAAGCTGCAATGAAAGATCCCATGTGGAACTGTTTGCTATACAATGCTATTTTTTGGAAGTAGTTACTTAAAATGTACTGTAGTTTACCCTTTGTTCTGCCAAGTAGCATGTGGTATACATGAAATATAACATAGCAGCTGTATAAAGAACAGAAACTTACACATTGGAGTCAATAACCCTTATTTAGGGTAAGATTCTGCATTTAATTATCAGATACTTATTAATAGTAAGACCAGCTATGGGACTAAATGCCATTTTTGTATTATCAGAATAGAACCTAGTTCACAGAAGGTATTTAATACATGCTGGCATAATGAGCATCCTTTCTGCTTTATTTTAAAATTCAATATAGATTTAAAGTTAACTTTTGTGGGTTTCTATAAATTTTATGTAAGATCTTTTCCTTCTGAAACTTACATTTAGTGAAGAATCACCAATTAACTCTTTTCTCTCTATAACTAAACTTTACGATCATCAGTCATAGTCACAGTAGAATTTAACATACTTTCCATATCTCACCGTCATGAAATCGGAGTTACCTTTGATATTTTATGAAGTTAGACTAATTGACACTAAAGTTCGTATGATAAAATTTAGGGTAGAACTGTTTGTTAATGTATATAAACAAATCATGGTAATTAGGAGTGAGTCTACTCTTAAAAGGTAATAACAGCATAAATTTATAATTTTGCCAGTGATGTTTTAAAGAGAATACATGTAGCTGGTGACAAGATTGTGAATACTGAGGGAGAACTGATTTCCCCTATGCCTGTTACCTGCAAATAATCACATCTGCAAAATGAGGTGGGGGAGAGTCTGCCATGTTAGAAGAAAATTTTCCTATTGTATGTGAAATTTTCCCTAGAAATACATACCAATGTAAAAATCTTGGGTTTTTTAGTACTTTTGTGGCTTCAATTTTTACACTTAGATACCTAATCCACTTGGAGGCTATTCTTGTGTAAGCTGCAAGGTATTTAACTGTCTCTCTTTCCAAATGGCAATGGACAAACATCTTTTCCCCAATGATCTGAGATGCAACCTTTATCATATAGTAAATTTCTATATGTGCCAGGATCTAGTTCTAGGCTTTCTATTCTATTCCACTGGTATATCTGTCTATGCATGGGCCAGCACCATACTGTTTTTATGATAGAGGTTTTATAATATTTTAATGTCTGGTAAAGTTAATCTTCCCTTATAGTTTTTCAGTGTTTTCCTGGCTCTTCCTGTTCACAGGTTTGATGAACTTGTTAATAGGTTTGCCTCAATCATGAGCTTAAGGATTCAACAGATCAATTTAAGAATTATGTCCTAAACATAATTAAGACGGTAAACCAGGCACAAAAAATTATGTCAAATAAATATAAAAATATTTATTTACTATTTTAGCATTATCCTCTCTTTTAGCATAAATAGGAGCTAATTAAATGTCAACTAGTTTCACGTTCTAAGATACTAAAAATGTATTTTTATTTGTAAAATGTTGTAATATAATCTATGTGCTCATTTGCCACTAAAATTTCATATTAGTTGCTAGATTAAAAATGAAAAAATCATACAAACATACTGTTTTAAAATATTAAACCTAAGTTGTTCATAACTTCAAATATAGTCTTCAGCATAAACATTTGCATTACCTAAATATGAAAATTTAAAAATCATTTAAAAATATTAATTTATTCTAATTTTCCAAATTCTATTGAATAAACAAAAATAGGGGTGTTATAAAGATTCCTTTTACTTGCCCTAGGTTTGCAACTCTATGTCCTTACTTATCCAATGACACAATATAGAGTTGTGCAGGTTATGTACTGCTAACCTACACAACCATGTATGGATGTGGCAACCCTGTTTTTATCCTTTTTTGATCAGTAGAAAAGCACTTCTTTGAACTCAGGTAAGATGAACTAGAGAAAAATAAGGGTCACTATTGGGTAGGTGTTCTTATTTAATTTGAGAGACCATATGTTTGAGAGAAAATGCATGGTCTATTGATTCAGAGGACCCTGGGTTCTGAGTTTTGAATCTGTCATTTACTAGTAAGTCCTTTTAATCTGTTTCATCTTTAAAATTGGTTAATAACATCTAACCTAGAGATGCTGCTGCAATGTCCAAATCAAGTCAGTATGAAAAGTGGCTGACACTTAATAGGCACAGCATGAATGGTTACTGTTTGTACAAATATCTAGTTTTACATTTATTGTACATTAGAAGTTTCCCAGGATCAAAGACTATGCTATTTCTGTTTCTTTGTTCCTTCCAGAATGAGCTGTGCAGTGATCTAAAAACAAAGGTGGTAAAAAAGAAAATGTTTGCTCTGACCGATTCTTAAAATGAAATTAACCAAAAGATAGGGATTGCTGTATGTTATATAGGTTTCTCTACTCTAGACAGGACTTAGTACACTACTGAAATAGGCACATAGGTGCACATGTATACACATACCTACTCTCACTCCAGGGCTACATAATTATGAAAGGAAAGGGGAAAAATGGGCCATTGAAAAATGATGTGCCACGAACCCAGAAGTGATATTTGTTCGGTTTTGAAAAAGGCCAAAATAAATTATTTTAGAGCCAGATCTTTGTAGCTCATGCCATCACCATTTTGGTTAAATGTTTGTAGATTTAGATAATGATCAAGAAATACAAACCCATATTATTTCCAATTTTAAAATACACGATTTTTTTTAACCACATAACATTAAAAAGTCAAAAGGTTGCTATCTACCCTTACAGAAAATTTTCAGCTATTTTAATATTATTTATAGTGGACTATCCAACCTCCTTACTTTCTTCCTGATCATTTCTTAACCCAGTTTTCTAAGCTCATTCATTCTAATACTATTAGTATTGCTGACATCCTGGCTTATAATAGAAATCCTATTTTAACAAATCATTGTTCAGCAAAGATATATCTTGGCCAAAAGGAACAAGCTTGAACAAGGTATAGTTTAAATTCCTGGACTTCAAAGCTAAAAAGGACTAAAATCTTTTAAAACTCTACTTGCATACTTCTAGCACTGCAAAACACTTGTAAGGAAGTAAGAAAGAAAGGAGTCATTGAAACATAAAATTTTAAAATGTGATCTTTCATCTGCCCTTTCAGCCCACACATAATGAAACCTCTAAATTTAGGCAAGTTTGTCCAAAAAGAATTAAGGCATTTTATTCATTGAAAAATATTTTCTCTATATATTTTGATTTGGTTTTTCATTCAGGCAACAACCTATGAACTTTTTGTTCATAGAACAGTTTTCAATAGAAATGTTTAATCTATACAAACATATAAAAAGGAAATATCTGATCTTAAATAAAATGTATCTTTCTTAGGTCTTGAAAAGGAGGAAGAGGAAAAAAAAGGAGACCTACAATATTTCTGGCCGTGCCCCTAAATTTACATATGACACAAAAGTTTAAGAGTAGTAGCAGTTGCCTGAGATCAAGTTTTATTAACTAGGGTGATTTCCTTCATTTATTCATTTGAGAAATATTTATTGTGCCCATGTGCCAAATACTATTCTTAAAGTCTTCAGAAATTCAGATACTGCTAAGTCCTAATAAAATATCATGTATAACCAAATGGAAATTATGTGGAGTTCTACATTTCAGAAGTATGACTTTTTTTAATGATCAGAATGGGGCATCCAAGTATATTAAGACAAAGCACTCTACAATCAGAAATTTTTGTATGAGCAGGCCATGTTGAGTTCAGCTGCCCATTCTTGGGCTCTTTATTTCTATATACATTTTCTCGGTAATCTTTTATTTTTCTCTAATTTCGTTATGTAATTTCAGTGAAATTAAATTGGAATGCCTCAAAAATACATTATTTCATTGAACTTCAATTACAGTATTAATTAATTGCAGGTTACTGGCATGATGCCTGGTTGTAACAATAATTAGCTTCTACTATGATCTTTGCATATATTATCACCCCCTGACTACAACTCTTCTTTATAGGTGGTGGTGGTACTAATAATAGCCAACACTGAACTAGAATGTACTAAGTGCCAGTGACTTAGTACATCTTTTACATAGACTACGTCATTTAAACCTCAGTACTCTTTGAGGTAGGTGTTATTTCTTCATTTTAAAAATGAGAAAATTGAATAACTCAAAGAGGTTATTATATACCAAAATTCATACAGCCAATAAATAGCAAAGCTGGCATTTAAATATAGGTGTATTTGGCTTCAAAGGCCACACTTTTCCACACTGTAATGTAGTGACGATGTATGCTGGTGGTAGTTAGTTATACAATAGTCACGGTAGACAGCCCTGACAGGCCTATTCTTTGGAAGTACAAGTTAATGTGACTTAAAGATTCTGACAAAACTTAGAATGGGGTTATTCTGATCCCCTAATGAAAAGAATAACTGCACTATCCTAAGAGGTTTTTATAATGGATTAAACGTTTAGAGAAAATTTTTAAAACATCTAAGTACGTAGCAACATGTTTTATTTTACTATTAAAAAACTAACTCACATACAAATAAAAATATTACCCAAACATACAGAATTAGCACTGTTATAATTAGTAAACTATGTGTTTCAAGTAAGACTACAAAGATAGAGGGACTACTGACTGTAAAATAAATTTCCTTTCATTTGAAGGATATGCAAGTTACTTCCATATAAAAAATACCTATAAGGTATAACCTGATAATATATACTCAGAAAGTAGCCATTGGATTAAAGATTTTGTTTTTTATAGGTACTTATTTTAAGTATGTTGAAGTCATATTAAGAAAACACTTCTAAACAGCGTTTATGCTTTCAGGTTATTTATTTGACTGGATGGAGGTGGGCAGTTTCTGTACTTCCAAATTCTACTGGTATTTATGAAGGGTAATCAACCAAGTTTTCTAATATTGTATTACTGGTCTGTATAATTGCATAAATACTTTAGATATACATATAGATTCCAAGTCCAGCAGAGATCTAAGTTAAATTTTAACAGCAGTATCTTACAAAGACAGGAAAAAACATTAAGGGTCATATTCCAGTGCTACCTAGGTTGAGAGTGGTTAACGCATTAAAAAAAAAAATACAGTAACGACTCAATTCTTAAGTTCTTTACTATACAAGGTGCTTTCATTTTAACATATCAAGTTATAATTTAAATTTAGTTAAACTAAATCAGAATTACAAATGGGTGGAACAAGCATAATTAAATTAAGAACTCAAAACCGCTGGTTCAATATAAAGTCATAGATTTCAGTTTTTATACTACTTAACATTAATTTTTCCAAGGAGTTAGGCATTTGAGAAATATTTAAGTTACACTATGCGCCAGTGTGCCATTTTCCATGGAACATGAAGAGCCCAGGCGGCTGCCAATGATGCTAACTTTTCCTACTGGCCCCAGATGTATGACTCAGTGCTGTCCTGAGGTGACCACACTTCTTATGGTGGCAGGAAGTGTTATTTTATCTTTGACAGCAGCTATCAGAAAATGTGCATAATGACACAGTTCACTTTCAAGTGATTAAGTTACATGTTTTTGCCTTCCTTAAAAGATGATAAATCTTGAAAAATACAATACCTAAAAATTAACATGCAACAGAAGTAGTTTGTAAAAGATAGCAAGTACCATTAGAGAAATATGTAGAATAAAAATCATACAATGACATTATAGTGGTGAAAAAAAGTATTTTATATTTTCACTTATTGAATACTTGACAGCACACATAGTACAAGAGACCTATATAAATATTAAATTTGAAAAATCTATTAATGTATTTGTTTCCATTTTGTTAAATACTTTTAGTTATTAAAATAATTACCAGAAATTTCACTATGATGCATACAATGTACACACCTTATCAAAGCACTGATAAATGCAGATATCACACTGCTATAATTACTCTCATTTTAAACAAATATTTTTGTAAAACCTGAGATTCCAATTGTTGAGGCTTTATAACACTAGGATGTCGGAATCTTGGAAAGAGACAGAAATCAGAACAGTTTAAATGATATAAAGTCTACTATATAGAAGTAAGTAATATATACAATAGGTACAAAAGGAGGACATCAAAATCAATAAGCTTTCTGAATAAATTTTAAAATAATTCAGCAGCCTTGATCTTTCAAAATGCACTTTTTAAATTGACATGTAATAATTGTGCATATTTATGGGCTACAGAGTGATATTTCGATATGTGTATACAATGTAATGATCAAATCAGGGTAATTAGCATATTTATCACCTTAAACGTTTATCATTTCTTTGTGTTGGGACCATTCAAAATCCTCTCTTCTAGCTATTTGAAAACATAAATTATTGTTAACTATAGTTACCCTACAGTACTACAGAAAACTAGAACTTATTCCTCCCATCTGACTGTAATTTTGTATCCATTAACCAACCTCTCCCAAACCCCTATCCCAATTCCCCATCCCCACTCCCCTTCCCATCCTCTAGTAACCACAATTCTACTCACTACTTAAATGTATTCAATTTTTTTAGCTCCCACATATGAGTGAGAACATGTGGTATCAAATGTACTTTTTTGGTGTATCATAGACAGCTACTTGTATTATAAAACACAAGGGACCAATTTATTCTAATATATTAATTCCAGTAGTGTGAATGAGGTTACTTAAATAATATAGACAGCTAAGGGTTAAAGTGTCAAAAAATTCACACTTAAGAGTTTTAGGTGCATGTATATTGCTCATAATTAAAATGGAAAATTATTAAAGTGAATTACAATAAATTATTCAGCACAGCAAACCACTTATTCAGCTCTAAACGGACCTCAAAAAGTACGGTGTGTTCAGATTTGTGTTTAATCCTGTTGCACTGGACTGCGTTAACAATCTGCAAAGCTTTAGAAAATGAGATTTAAAATCATTGAGTCATAGCCCACAGAGATTAGAAGACCATCAGGAGAAGATTTTCTAGCAGTTAATAGCATTTTAACTATAAATGGGGTTTGGCATTTCAGAATCTTACATTCAGTTATGATAAAATGAAATCTAAAACAAACATTTCTAATGAGGGGATTATTCTATGAAGTAGGTTTGTTGCATGTGTTAATAAAGACGTGTTCTAACTTTGACACCAGTGATCAAAAGAACTCATTCTCTTGTTTCTAATAGAGGATGTCCTCACAATGAAAAGATCTATGCAACATACTATTTCTGAGCTTTCATACTGAGTTATTTGCCATACTAATTTTGCTACTAGAAAGATACATGAATTTAGAGAAGTCATTTAACCTCTCCGAGCTCAGATGCTTACAAGTAACATGAGGGCATAGGGCCAAGAGATTTCTAAAAGTTTGTTCTCATTCTAGCTATCAATTCATCTCATAGATTGTGCAGAGAACAAGAGTGTCAGTGTATAGAGCATGTTCTTTTATAAAAGAAAATGTTACAAACTGTTTTAAATGATGATGTGTTTCAATAACGGACACAAGAACTGTATTTGAGTTTGTGCTTCAAATTTGCCCATTAAATATAATAAAACCATACATGTTAAAGTTTGATAAAAATAGGCATAAATTTCACTAAGAACTTAAAGGTTGTACTTGTACTCCATGCATTAAAAAAATCTGTTTGATGCATTCACAGACATCTAGATATAACTTACAGAACTATCATATTACACAGACTTTTGATTTTAAAAGTATGATTTAAATATGACCACCAAGAACAAAAAGTACTGTTTTTTTCAGATACTCCATATCAATTTACATATACCACATATTCTAATTTATGTTTTCCTTGCTCTTACAGGTGTATTTAGAATTCAAATTTTTGTTTTTAATATATTAGGGCTTCAGCCACCTGAAACTTTTTGTATATTACCAAGGGGCAGGCAGAGAAGACAGTGTGAATAGTTAAGACTCTCCAAGAGGCTGGAGGGCATTTGCTCAATGATATGCTTGCTAACCTGTAACTGTTAAAAGTTTTCAGTGGTGAAAGAATATAGAAAAAGGAAAAAAGAAAGAAAAAAGAGAAAGGAGAAAGATTTGTAACCTAATGTCTTAGGAATTTGCCAAACAGAATCTGTAAAGGTAAACTGGCATTGGTGGCCTAGATCTGTGGGCATTCAAATCCACCTAAAACATAAAAAATACATCTTCCACTTTTGTTACATAGCAAATCTTTGTGTAAAGCACATACAGTTTCGTGTTTGGCATTTAATTACTGGGTAGAAAAAAACTTAAACTGAAAAATTCAGAGGGCCCAACTGTCACTGGTGGTCATAAAAGTAGATGTAAAGAAAATCAAGAATGTTTATCATTCATCACTTATAAACCAAGTATGAACATGAATTTAAAAGCTTATAATCACCAAATCTTACAGCTTTTAAGATCATATCATCCAACTTTCTTTTATAGGAAAGAAAACCAGAAACCCAAATAATTTGCCCTACCATAGGTAACCCTGACAGAAGTAAAGCTGTCTCAACCACATGATCTCTTTTTTTTTTCAAGGCATTCATTTACTCGAAGACTTATGTGTTTTTAACAAATGAGTTATGAATGGCTCAGAGCCGATCATCCCAAAAAATCCAAATGGTCTTCAAAGTTTGAATGAAAGTATAAAATCTGACATCTTACTATCCACTGTCGTTTAGAAACATGTCAATATCAAAAAGATTGAAGAAGTAGTAATAACAAAATCATGGTGAATATTTCTGAAAAGCTTTAAGGTCAACATTGTTACACTATTATACGGATTAAAAGAAAGCTCTTAATAAATTTGTGTATTTTTAAAATTCCTCAAAATGAAGTCTTATATATGAGTTGACATCATTTACACAAGATGTACTAGTTGGATATATAGAGCATTTTTATAAGGAAAACACAAATGCAGACCAAAATGTAAAACCTAAGAAAAACAAAACTGCTGGTAATAAGAAAATTAAAAGCTGGCATAGGAGCTTTGGGAAAGTACACTTTCAAACAACTATTCTACACAACTTGGGAACTAATTTGCAGTCTTAATGCTTCTCAATTGTCCTCAATCCAAGTACCACTTGTGACACATGAATGAGAAGGCATTGTTTTGCCAATGATTCTCTCTTGTTTTCAGTGATCCAAGCTGAAACGAATTGGTTCATTTGTTTCTTACAATTGCCTGTTTTTCCTATGAAAAGTCAATACATTTCTGTCACTTAAATGGAGCTCTAGTGCTAAGTACCTATCATTTTCATTGCACAGATTCAGTGTTTAATAATAATTTTGATCACTATGTATAATAATAAACCTTTTATAATAAAACTCTTACATTCCAATCTTCTGACAAGATTTGAGAAATAAAATTTAAATAATCATAAACTTTGTGATAAAATAATGCTGAGAAGTACTAGGGGACTGTGATATACACGGTTTACTACTGAGATGAGGTCTATACTGATTCAGGACTTAGCCAGGTTTGGTGGACCCATCAACAACAATGCTTTAGGACCTTTGTATTGAGTTCCCTGGCAGGAAAAATGGAATATACCATTCTAATAACTAGGCAAAATTAGTTAAGTAGTCTTTTGACTCAAATAAGTAAAAACATTGACTCGAAGAGAAACACTCCAATACAGCTGTTAGAAAAAGAAGTGGCTACATGACAGAAGTTAGTAAAAGGGAAAGAGTTCCCAAAACAAAGCCAGCCACCTGAAATCTATAACCCAGATGCATTTTTAAATCAGTATAATCTTATTTTCATGCCATATCATAAGGCAAACACATGTGAGCTATATCTAGTAATTTATTTCTAAACTGGAATACTTAAAAAATTCTTTTCCATTAAGATCATTTTAAATCCTGTACAGTAATAAATTCTTTTTTGCCAATGTCAGAATGTTATTCCATTTCTGCCTGGACTATATATTAATTATTCCTCAGCTATTCACTATAAAACACATTTTAATTATCTCCATTTTAAAATAAAGGGTTTGAGAAGTAAACACATGAATTAAACACACATACAAATACAGGACAGGATGTGGAATGGACCACAACCTCCAATCCCAACTTAGTACTACAGATAATTTGTATTGTCTTCTATATACAGTGCTTCCTACTAGTATTTGTCCCTTTAATTTTATTCATCTGTATGAAATCTAGAGATGGAGGAAGAAAGGGGAAGAGGAATGCGTCTTTTGACATGACTACAGGTGATAAAGATATTTCCCACAGCCTGGAAAGGCATCATCTGGCATTTTCATTTGGGAAAGTAGAATACTAATTTCTTAGCAGCCTACAAGACAGTGGTTACTATACAATGATTACTTTTAATTAACTTCACTGAAGAACTTGTGTCCATCTGCACCCTGAAAAAGCTTCCAAGTCTACTTCTCACCATCTGCATTTCATAAGTCATGCAAATCACACAATTTGCTTCTAACATTCTGTCGTTAATTATTATAAGACTGTATTACTGCAATAGCTAGCCACCCTAAATCTGTGAAATTTTATGAAAAGTATTATTGGAAAGCATTGAAACAACTTAGTCTAAACATTGCCCACCTAACCCGAGATAAATTCTAAAGTTTTAAGATATTGGAAATTCTTTTGAAAAGTCAAACCATCCTTTCTGGTCACATATTCAAAACTGGTTTCAAACCCCTGATATTTAATGTATAATTGACACAGGTTGTTTTTTGAAGCTTTCTTTAAATGTAAAGCATTCTTACCTTATTGAAATAAAACAACCTGTCCTTCATTCCCGTGAGCATAGCTTAAGAATAGTTTGTACAAAAAGCAGAAGCATTTCACAGAGAGCACATTAATGCATAGCTAGGCTGGTACTCACAGAGCATAAATCAGAAAAAGACATTTGGCAGCAAATCAGGGCAACACTTTTAAGACATTCACCTCAACAATGTCAACAGAACTTCACATTTTTACAGAGAGGTATTAATAACAAAGAATCAAGTAAGTTGAAATTGTGACAATTATAACATTTCAATTTTTTGTGGAAAGAAAAGAAGTATCAGGTTAATGCATTAAGTTTTCTGTCAGTTTCTTTATCTACTGATTACCAAAGACTGAGCTTTTTAGAATTTTCACACCATTAAACTAAAAAACAAGGAAGATCTTAATCAGAAAGGCACAAGAATTAAGGGCAAGTATAAAGTTTTGAAACTTAATGTAATTTCTTGGAGATGTGAACAGAGGAGGTCTTAAATTACAACCCCTCATAACCCAAACTCATCTACTAAATGCACTACACGGACTCATTATAAGATGAAAATAAGGTACCACATTTAATGACAAGAAGAAAAGCATTGACTTCCTTGATTAAAAACAATCAGAAAAGGTCTTTGAGTTATATTCGATTTCAGCAAAACTGCTTGGTATGGTTTGGATTTCTGTCCCCACCCAAATCTCATGTTGAACTGTAATCCCCAGTGTTGGAGGAGGGGCCTGGTGGGAGGTGACTGCATCATGGAGGCAGATTTCCCCCTTGCTGTTCTTGTGATAGTGAGTGAATACTCACAAGACCTGAATGTTTAAAAGTATGTGGCATCTTCCCCTTTGCTCTCTTCCTCCTTCTCCAACCACGTAAGGCATGCCTGCTTCTCCTTTGCCTTCTGCCATGATTGAAAGTTTCGCGAGGCCTCCCCAGCAATGCTTCCTGTACAGCCTGTGGAACTGTGAGCCAATTAAACCTCTTTTCCTTATATATTACCCAGTCTCAGGTAGTTCTTTACTAGCAACGTGAGAACGGACTAACACAAAAAATTGGTATGTAGGAGTGGGGCATTGCCATAAAGATACCTAAAAATGTGGATGCAGTTTTGGAACTTGGTAATGGGCAGAGGTTGGAACAGTCTGGAGGGCTCAGAAGAAGACAGGAAGATGAGGGAAAGTTTGGACTTCTTAGAGACTTGTTGAATGATTGTAACCAAAATGCTGATAGTGATATGGACAGTCAAGTCCAGGCTGAGGTAACCTCATATGGAAATGAGGAAATTATTGGGAACTGCAGTAAAGGTCACTCTTGCAATGCTTTACCAAGGAGACTGGCAGCATTATGCCCCTGCTCAAGGGATCTGTGGAACTTTGAACTTCAGAGTGATGATTTAGGGTATCTGGCAGAAGAAATTTCTAAGCAGCAAAGCATTCAAGAAGTGGCCTGGTAGCTTCTAATAGCGTATGGTCATATGCATGACCAAAGAGATGGTATGAAACTGGAACTTATATTTAAAAGGGAAGCAGAGCATAAAAGTTCAGAAATCTGCAGTCTGACTATCTGGTACAAAAGAAAAACCCATTTTCTGGGAAGGAATTCAAGATAGCTGTAGACATCTGCATAAGTAAAGAGGAGCTGAAAGTTAATAGCCAAGACAATGAGGAAAAGGCCTCAAAGGCATTTCAGAAACTTTCATAGCAGCCCCTCGTGTCAGAGGCCCAGAGGCCTAGAAGGGAAGAATGGTTTTTGTAGGCTGGGCCCAGAGCCTGGCTGCCCTGTACAACCTCAGGACACTGCTTTCTGTGTCCCCAGCCACTCCAGCTCCAGCTGCGGCTAAAAGGACCCCAGATACACCTTAGGCTGCTGATCCAGAGGGTACAAGCTGTAAACCTTGGCAGCTTCCACATGTTGTTAAGCCTGCGGGTGCATAGAGGGTAAGAGTTGAGGCTTGGGAGCCTCTGCCTAGATTTCAGAGGATCTATGGAAATGTATGGATGTCCAGGCACAAGTCTACTGCAGGGGAGGAGACCTCATGGATGACCTCTACTAGGGCAATGTGGGGGGGAAATGTGGGGCCCACACACAGAGTCCCCACTGGGGCACTGCCTAGTGGAGCTGTGAGAAGAGGACCACCATCTTCCAGACTGCGGAATGGCAGATCTACCAACAGCTTGCACCATGTACCTGGAAAAGACGTAGGCACTCAGTGCCAGCCTGGGATAGCCACCAAGGGGGTTGTACCCTTCAAAGACACAGGGCCAGAGCTGCCCATGGCCTTGGGAACCCACCCCTTGCATCAGTGTGGCCTGGATGTGAGACATGGAGTCAAGGGAGGTAATTACGGAGCTATAAGATTTAATGACCGCCCTGCTGGGTTTCAGAATTGCATGGTCCTGTAGCCCCTTTCTTTTGGCTGATTTCTCCCTTTTGGAATGGGTGTATTTACCCAATGCCTGTAACCCCATTGTATCTTGGAGGTACCTAACTTGGTTTTGATTTTACAGTGTCATAGATGGAAGAAACTTGCCTTGTCTCAGATGAGACTTTGGACTGTAGACTTTTAAGTTAATGCTGAAATAAGTTAAGACTTGGCAGGCTGTTGAGAAGGGATGATTGTATTTTGCAATGTGAGAAGGACATGAGATTTGGGAGAGGCCGGGGCAGAATGATATGGTTTGGATTTGTGGCCCCACCCAAAACTCAGGTCGAATTGTAATCCCCAATGTTGGAGGAGGGCCCTGGTGGGAGGTGATTGGCTCATGGGGGTGGATTTCCCCCTTGCTGTTCTCGTGATAGTGAGTGAGTGCTCATGAGACCTGGTTGTTTCAAAGTGTGTGGCACCTTTCCCTTTGCTCTCTTCCTCCTTCTCTAGCCATGTAAGACGTGCCTGCTTCCCCTTCACCTTCCGCCATGATTGAAAGTTTTCTGAGGTTTCCCCAGCCATGTTTCCTGTACAGCCTGTGGAACTGTGAGCCAATTAAACCTCTTTTCATTATAAATTACCCAGTCTCGGGTAGGTCTTTATGCCAGTAATGCAAGAACAGACTAATATACTGCCCTAGGTAACTAAATATCTGCCCTAAGTAAATGTGTGTGCATATTTATACACACATTTATATATACAGCTGATTATCAATTATAAACCACAAGATTTATTTACTTAAAAATTATCATGCCTTGCTTAACATTCCCACACAAATTGCCTACAGGAAACAGAAACTACAATTAGAAGGAACACTGGGAGTCAAGCTTTGTTAACAATGTTTAGAATAGCACACTCTTCTGTCTGAGAGTTTAATTGCAAATTGTTTAGCATTAAGGTAAAATGAGAAGATGGAGCTAACTTTTGGTGGTCTCCATCCTATCCATGTACATTTAATCTCCTTTTCTTAAACATATTTCCTGATTAGCAAAAGGTAAAAAATGCTAATCAAATAAAAGATTAAATTTAGTAGAATGAAAACAAAGTATAACATTCATTCAATAAAATTATTTTTCAAATCACAACAATATGTATTCATAAAATTTAAAAAATGTTCACACGTGGAAAACTATAAGGTTTACAAAAAAGAAAAGTGGTAAGGCCAGGGATCCTGATGCCAGGCCAGGGCCAATATTGTTTCCTGGGAGCATTTTGAGAATTATGAGTAGTACTGGGTTATCACAATGATTAGGTTACTGAATGATTGCTAGATCCATGGATGGAACAATCCCACATAGTGAAGAACAACTCTATATCCCAAGTGCCCTTTTTTATTTGAAAGACTTCATTATTAATACTTCCAGAGAGGCAAAACAAAACTATTCATATATGAGACATAGCTTATCTTTTGGTATTACCAAATTTGAAAAATACTGTAACTTTTTTATTTGAACAACTTTTTAAAAATTTCAGAATAGTTTTACATCTACAGAAAAGTTGCAAAAAATAGTATAAAGAGTTCCTGTATACTCTTCACCCATATTCTCCTATTATTAATATCTCACATTACTATGTACATTCACTACATTAAGGAACCAACCTTGTTATATTGCTAATAATAAACTAAACTCCACACTTTATTTGGATTTCATTATTTTTCCTAACGTACTTTTCCATTCCAAGATCCTATCTAGAATGCCATAATATAACTAATTATCATGTCTCCTTAGCCTTTTCTGGTTTTTAAGTTTCTCACATTTTCCTTGTTATTGGTGACCTTGACAGTTTTGTGGAGTATTGGTTCGGTATTCTGAAAAATGTCCTTAAATGTGGGCTTTTCTTACGTTTTTCTCATGGTTAGAATGGGGTTATGGGTTTGTGGGGAGTAAAGAAAGACCACAGAGATAAAGAACCATTCTCATCATATCATATCAATCATATCACATCACATCATATCACATCGTATCATGGGTACATGCTATCAACATGACTTATCACTGATGATGTTAACCTTGATCACTTGGCCAAGGTAGCAACTGCCAGGTTTCTCCACTATAAAGTTGTATGTTTCCCCTTTTTCATACTCTACTCTCTGGAAACAAGTCACTAAATGCAACCTACAATCAAGGAGTGGGGATTTAAGTGCCACCTCTTTGTGGTGGGAGTTAGGGAGTATGTATATAAATGATTTGTAATTCTCTACATGGATGATTTGTCTCTTCTCCTCCATTTCTCTACTTATCTAGACATTTCTATCTATCAGGATGGATCCATGAATATATTTATTTTATATGTTGGGTTATAATCCAATACTGTAATACTTTATTGTTCAAATTGTTCCAGCTTTAGCTATTGGAAGCTCTTTCAGATTGGCTTTTCAGTCTTTTACATGCCCTCATCATTGTGTTTTTTGAACACTTCCTTACTTTATGGCACTACAGGATGCTCCAGGCTCTTCTCGCATATTCCCTATCCCAGCCCTAGAATATAACATTCTCCAAAAAGCTGTTTCCTTCACTCATGACTTTCAAATGTTCAATAGGAATTACTAGAATGGCTCATCAAATGAGTCTGGTCCATTAACATTTCTCCTAATATTTGTTTTTACTTCACTGTCTATTAGTTCATCTGTTCTTCCATTTTCTCTTGTACACTCTATGGAACAACTTCTGATTTTAACACTTCTTTTAAATCCAGATATGTTCATTAAAAGTAGGGAAAAATAGGCCTGGCGCGGTGGCTCATACCTGTAATCCCAGCACTTTGGGAGGCTGAGGTGGGCGGATCACGAGGTCAGGAGATCGAGACCATCCTGGCTAACACAGTGAAACCTTGTGTACACTAAAAATACAAAAAATTAGCCGGGCGTGATGGCGGGCGCCTGTAGTCCCAGCTACTCGAGAGGCTGAGGCAGAAGAATGGCGTGAACCCGGGAGGCGGAGCTTGCAGTGAGCCGAGATCACACCACTGCACTTCAGCCTGGGCGACAGAGCGAGACTCCATCTCAAACAAAAAAAAAAGTAGGAAAAATATCAATTATTTTCTTCTTGTATAGTCATACTGAGTATGTACATATAGAAACCCATATTATTTTATTATGTGTTTTTCTTTTTATTACAATAAGGGCATTTTAGTGAGTTTTAAAAAAATTATGTGACTAGGTAGGTTATATTATCTGAATTTTATTTCAGGAGATATTACATAACATCTGTTATGTAAAACATCCAAAAAGATTGACATAGGAAAAAAGAATGAGCTAGACTACAATGTGTGCACCTGATTTGGGTTCTGATTGAAGAAAAAAAAGTGTTTGACATTTATGAAACTAGAAATTTGTACATACAGATATTGATATTAAGGAATGAATGGACGGTGGCGTGATAATAGTGTTATAGTTCCTCAGCTATTCTGCTGTATTTCTTTTCTTTTCTTTTTCTTTTTGGAGACAAGGTCTCACTCTATCACCCAGGCTGGAGTACAGTGGCGCGACCACAGCCCACTGCAGCCTCGACCTTCCTGGTTCTGGTGATCCTCCCACCTCTGCCACCTGAGTAGCTGGGACTAAAGGCGTGCCCCACCATGCCTGGCTAATTTTTGTATTTTCTGTAGAGACAGAGTTTCGTCATGTTGCCCAGGCTGATCTCGACCTCCTGAGCTCAAGTGATTTGCCCACCTCAACCTCTCAAAGTGCTAGAATTACAGGCATGAGACACCACATCCAGCCCGCTGCTGTATTTATTTTCTATGTGCATGCATTAGTTTCCAGTATGCATATGTTTAAGAATAAGCAGCTTCATTTGAAAATCTGAAACATAAGAAACCACTGCCTTTAAACATTAAATCAGATACATCTTAAAATTAATGTAGATGGAGATTCACAGTATTACCATATTTAAACCAGATTGTTTTTTAAAACAAGGTGTCAACAATTATTTCAAAGAAAGTGATGAAATTCTCAAAAACATCCCCAAACAAAATTAATTTTAATTCATATGAATTTTAAAGGATAATGAGCAATTTAGGAGAAAAAGGTGCTTTACAGAGTCAGAGAGACAAGACTAAGGTAACTTCAAAGTGGTTGGTAATCTACCACAGTTCACAATTTTTTTTAAGGTTCTATTGTCCTGGGTATTGTAATAGCTTTTATAAAAAGTGAGAAACTTCAAACCATTCTCTCCACAAGTAAAGAACAATTTAAGTTATTTTCACTTATTTTAACACTTCCAGTCTGAAGCAAACTCACCTTAACTCTTTCTATTAAAAGAAAGCAAGGAGAAACAGAAAATATCATGTTTGCATAACTTTGAACAAATCCTACTTAAGTTTCCACATATATACTAGAATACATATTTTTAAAACATATACAAAATTATGTGTATCACTTTCAAATATAATGTAGATGGAATTGTGCCTTTCATTACCATTTTACAAGCACTCCATTGGTCAAATATCTCTAATTCAACTTGACCACTCCATATTTTGCATTTATTTCACAATAGTTTTTTAACTAATTATGATTAAATTTCCTCTAGCATTAAAATTGCTTTCGTGATTCACTAAACTTTCCTATCATATCACAATTTGGTCTATGATAAATGTCTCCAAACAAAACAATTTGAGGAGATGAATTAACATTTTGTAGGTATATAAGGGTTTCGGATCCATAGGAACGCACCAAAAAATGTCTGCTGTTCAAAGAAACACTAATGAAATGCAGGTAGCAAGGCTAACCACTGCTGAGTAAATCTTAACAAAACATCATTATTTTTGGTAAAATGTGATATACTTATGAATGTCTATTATCAGGCACCACATATTAACAATCCTTTGATAACAAAACATCTCAGCACTGGGTTCTTGGCAGTAGTGCTCAGGGTAGGCTTTTTTTTTTTTTTTTTTTTTTTTGCCTACATCCAGACTCAGCAGAGGGGAACATCAAACTCTAGGGGTCACTTCAAAATACAAAAGCTGTCACCAAGACTACAGTAATATGTGGCATCTTTGTCACTAATGAAAGCCCTATCCTGAGAAGTAGAAACAACTCATCGTGCATACACACGCGCACACGCACATCTCACTAGAAGCCCAAAGGACACAAAAACTATAGCCCACCTTACCAGATACTAGAGAAGGTAGGTCTGATGGAGAGGACATACACATCTTTGAAAAGTATTTCCAGGATTCCTCTCACGTCACATCTACCTCTGCTAGAAAAGCAAGGTGGAAATATTAGGTATTTTGGAACCAATCAGAAATCAATACTTAAAACAAACACCTGCTTAATAAATATACAGGTATATAGGACAAGTCATTCAACATTTCTAAGTAAAAATCTCTCTAAGCCAAAGTTCCTTCATCTGTAAAATAGGGATTAAGTCCAACCTTTCAGGGCTAAGACAGGCATTAAATGTAATGTAGGGAAAGCACCTAGCACAGGACACAGTATGTAGTAAGCACTTAATAAATATAATCTATTATTAGTTCTGCCTCTGAATATTGCCAACAGAATATAATCTCTTCCTTTAAAAAAGTTGACATTTATATGTGCTTACTATATACAAGGCATTGTTTTAAGTATACCACAACAGAAAAATGTGGCAAAATGTAGAAACATCTTTTAGATTGGTAATTGTAGGTAATACCAGCATCCCCATTTTATAAAAAGGAGAAAACTTGGGAAAATTACTTAAACTCTCCCTAAGATCACACAAGCTAAGAAGTGATAAAGTCAGGATACAAACCCAGGTATCATGATTCCAAAGTGCTCTTACCTGTACTATATTACATATTATGCCAATTTTTAAAGGGTAGAAAATTCAGAAAAAAATTTTAAAAGGTCAATTCTGAAAACCATTGTGTACCTATCTGAATTGTGTCCTTTGCCCACTAAATTGTAAATCCAATCCAGTAGGAGAAAAGTTGACGTCAAACCTAATTTCACTGAACAGCTGTACAATCTCTGTTGAGCTGCTTAACTTCTCTGTACTTTACCTATAAAAAGGTGTTAATAACTCTCCCTTATCTCACTTTTAAAGATTACTAGCAATAATATAATGTGAAGTACATGACCTTTCCAATTTGGGTGAATGAGAAGAACCAAGCTATATTAAATAATGTTTGGAAAATACTCCAAAAAATAAAGACTGATAATTCTAAGTATACAGAAATTCTAAGTAAAAATACAGCTCCTTTCTAACTAGCATATTTTCAGTATGTAAGTGGCTCCTGGCAAAGTATAGTACAAAAACATTGTATTCTCCCAGGTCAAACAATTTCTTTCCAATCTTGTTTGCATTATTAGATTGATCAGCAAACCTTTCCTTCACATATTAACAGTAATCTTCAATAGGAGCACAGTGAAATTATCACAAATCCCAAATAAACAGAATCTCAATTAACAGGTTTTTACCATAAATAAACTCAAAGCATTATGTCTAGGGCCACTGGAAAGAAAAATCATCTAACCCAAATATTTCACAGAACTAACTACTCTGTGTGTGTCAATTCAACATCAAACTGAAAGTCTCTGGTCTGACAGCTAGAAGGCAACAGAGCAGGCTTCTGGATAAGGAAGCCTTGTTCCTTTGATTTAATGTAACATTAGTGCCAACAGAGACTGCCACAAAGCTCATCCTGACACCAATATAATAGGAAATGGGGAAAGAGCACCTAGCCCTGCCATATCATGCTAGCTCTATACCACATCAAACTTGGTTTCTACGTAAGTTCCAGCAGGCCAGGAGGAAAACTAGCCACTGGACTACTATATGTCTGTTTTGAGCATCATGAGCAAAATCTCTACACTTTCTCTGTTATATGTATTTAATATCCCAATGGCCTGTTTTGAAAACCAAAATATAAATGATTTTCACAAAATTAAAATATCAATTTTCTGAAAAAATATACAAAATAAGTTCCTATATACACATAAAAAACACACCAAAATTAAAACAAAAATTCAGCCAGTGTTAACATTAATCATTCAGCTGTATTATTTAATGCCAGCATTGTTAAAGGTTTTTACTAATAAATTACATTGCTAAGTATAACTAACAAGTTACTAGAAAATAGATTCTTTTACAATCTTTGGTAAATAAGTTGAAAAAAGGAAAATCTAGGATCTAAGCCAGGCTTCCATCGATTTGTTCTAGCTATTACTTAAGAAAACATGTTGCAAGCCTGTTTTAAAAATAGCAGATGTATCTGGAACAAAATAAAAAGTTCAAACAAACACCAAAAAAAAAAAAAGATATTGAGCAACATTTAAAAACGCAACTAATTTAATGAGGTTTCTTCTTATCTACCACTGTATCTAAAGACCATCCAACCTACTTAATTTCTAAGAACATTAATGCCAAGTAAACACATAAGAGTCATGTATGCTATACTTGATATTAGTTATGTAACAATATTTTTATCATGACAAACTATCATATATTGGTGTCAGTGCAAGTTTTGGTTTACTAAATAAATTTTGATTTTTCAAACAATTTTATGTTGTGGTAAAATAGTCAACAGATGAACAAAGAGAGCTAAAACAGTTATTACTGCACTTTAGTAAAATTTAAAGTTCAATGCATTTATGCAAATAGCAACAAACTCTTTTTTCCTGAAATTGCAAGAGTAAGATAATGAAAACTTCCATTAGAATTAATGATTGTGATTTAAATTAAAATCAAACAATAAATTAAATACATCTTTAAAATTTAAAAATTCCATCTTGTAGAATAGTTGTTTGCAAGTCAAATCAGGGCACAATTGCAATCCATTGTTTTGCAGTACTAGCTAGAGCATTTAAGCCTGATGGTGTTTTATAAAGAGTTAACAAACTGGCATGCCTATTAAGATCTTTACAATTTCACTTACTCTGATTTGTATTTTAATGATTCTAAATTGGGAGGAGGCAGGCTTTATTAGAAAAATTTTGGTAAGTTGCCTACTAGTGATTATCTAGCAGCATGTAATTCATAGAAAATCCACTTGAGGCACCTGTATTTAGCAAACTATGCTTTGCAATAATTCTGTACGTATGTTCTTAACAAGTGCCCTTCAAAAATTAGTAATGATAAACTTACATCTAGTTTTTAAAGTTTTCTTTTTTTCAAAATCAGAGGGAACGGTGAAAAATTACACAAGAAAATGCTGATTTAAGATGCACCTTTAAATACCTTAATTGTATTCCTATTAATAAAAATGCAAATTGAACACTAAATATAATAAATAAGATAATGGTTTCATTAAGCCCAAGGGTTGTTTTTCCATTTTATCGTCCCAATTAACAAATAAAGGATATCCTCACAACAGAATAATGCATTTTAATTTTTTATATGAGCTTTTTGTTTTTATTTTTATGAGGACAAAATTAAGACATCTGATCAATTTCACTCCATCATGCATTCTAAGATATATAGAGTTCTTTAAAAAATACCCAAATGAAGAAACAATTAGAAAATTTGAATGAAGGGAAATAAATGCTTAGGAGAAGGAGTGTGTTTTAATGTTTTAATAAGTATTTGCTTATCATGTTGTCTTACTAAGTGATATTAGTAAGTAATATTTATACTATTTATAATATGGCATAAACACCAAAGTGTTATTAATTTCCTGAAATTATTAATATTTTGTAACAAAATAAGTTTAAACCATGATTCGTATCTTTGAATTGGCTAGAGCACTACAACTATGAGAAATGGATAAAGCAACCCTACTTCTACTGTATTCTGGCACACAATATACAAGTTGGCACTGAAGTATCCATTAGAGCATTATAAGGGACTTTACGTGCATTGTCATTTAGGAAAGCAGATTTGCTGACAGACCAGTAATCTGTGAATAAATTAATTTATTCCTTCTCTCAACAAATATTTTCTAAGTGCCTATTTCATACCAGATACTTTTTTACACACTGGTACAAGAAATAGATGGGGTCCCTGCACTCATCTAGTGGGGGAGTTGGATATCAAATAACCATCCAAATTAATATAAAAATAAAACTGGTGAATGGGACACAGGAGATATACATGGTACTAGGACAGCATATAACTGAGGATTTGATGTGATTTAACAAATCTGGAAAGGCTTTCCTAAGGTGGATGAGAAAAAGCCTAAGACGTGAAGGGTGAGTAAGACTTAACTAGGTGAAGAGGGATAGGGAACATATTAAGTGCAAATGTCCAGTGGTAGGCAAACAGGAAGGACGGTGAGGCAGCCTGCATACTTGGTGCTGGGCATGACGCTTACCTCATAGGCAATGGCCAAACCTTCAAGAGTCTTATAGGCCATGTTAAGGACTTTGACCTTTATCCTAAAAACAATGAGAAGTCATTAAATTGTTTTAAACTGATGAGGGTAAGAAGTGAGAGAATGAGATCGGATGAGATTTATTTTCAAGGAATTCATCCTGACTGCAGGTGTATGGATCAAACAAATAAACAAAATTAAGATGCTACAATTATCATGACCTCGACTGAAAATGGTCATATTTTGTGCCTTGTGGTAATAGGAAAAAAAGGGAAACAGAGTACATTAATTTTACCTTTTTTAAACTCAACCACCACTTCTCCAACTTTTCCACTGATGCATCTGTAATTGCTCAAAAGAGTGTACTCAGCCCTGGGAGGTCTGGAGAATACAGCTTTAAACAGCCTGTTGCAAGCCTAAAATTCCTGTTAAGTCTCTGGTCTCATCTTTGAAATAATGCCAATTTTGCTTTCTACATCATGAATATAATATCCATGTTTGTTTTAATATAATGTTTTAAAAAGCTTAGCAAAAAACAAAAAAAACACAACTCTTTGGCTTCTTTTGATCATTTGGCTTCCACAACCACAAAAATATACCATTTTGAGGAATACAGGCCTATGCTATACATGAAAACTGTGAATTCCCTCACCGAATGTAATTCAACACAATGATTCCACATTGAAGACTATACTTGCTGTTTTTAATCAGACACTAAACAATAAAAAGCCATGAACAATTAAAACTTTTAGACTCAATTTTTTTCAAATTACTTTATACTCCCTTCCCCCAACCTTTTTTAAAATTAGTACAGATGATCCACTCTTTTAGTACTCTTTTTAGAAGCTAATAACTTTATTCTTCACAATAACCCTTATGTGTGAGGTACTGCAGGGAAGACACATAGAAAGCTAAAAGTCATTAAGAACAAATTGAGGCTGGGTGCAGTGGCTCACGCCTGTAATCCCAACACTTTAGGAGGCCGAGGCAGGTGGATCACTTGAGGTCAGGAGTTCAAGACCAGCTTGGCCAACATGGTGAAATCCCGTGTCTACTAAAAAATACAAAAATTAGCCAGGGGTGGTGGTGGGTGCCTGTAATCCCAGCTACTTGAGAGGTTGAGGCATGAGAATCACTTGAACCCAGGAGGCGGAGGTTGCAGTGAGCTGAGATTGTGCCACTGCACTCCAGCCTGGGTGAAAGAGCAAGACTCTATCTCAAAAAAAAAAAAAAAAAAAAAGAACAAATTGAGCCCTAATCTAGGGTTGCTCTGTTATAAATAAAAATGATAATTTATCATTGCTTTAAGAACAGTATTAATACTTAAAAGTCTATTTCCATTCTTCATATAAGAACTTGGTTCAGTAAAATTCGAAATATCTAACAACATGTTAATGATTTGTCTTCAAAATAATTTAACATTATTTTCAAATCATTCCTGAAAAACAGATTTGAAACAGCTGTACCAATTCAATACACATTCTTTGTGGGCTTATTTTTGGCAGCTAAAGTTTTATAATGTGGCATTTATTTAAACTCAGGACATGATGAGAGTTTTATTGTCTTTGTGAAATGCAGATTTGTTCTTGTACTTTTGTGCCACCTACTCATGCTCCTCCCTCACTTTCCCTCTACTGCCCACCTCTCTCCTTCATCCAGACAAACCTATATACAACCCCCCTTTAGTTAATAACCCCATTTCAACTCTAGAGTTTCTTGCTGTGCCGCTACATTTAGTATACATCCCTCTTAGATTATGCCTTAATTAAATAAGTAGCTTAAATAGTTGCTAGAACCCCACCCTCCTCACAGATCCCTTCCTGATTCAATAAAATTATCATCTTCTCTTTCCAATGGTGCTCATATACAGCCTTTAAAAAATTACTACATGTGCTAGTTGGCACCTCTCTCTGTCTTTGCCTAAGTTTGTCAATGTCACTACCATCCCTTACAGAGGCTAATTTCCCCAAAGCAGAGAATAATTAATTTAAAACAACCCATTAAAGCACCCTCCATGCAAAAGCACTGAGAAAATAATATCTATGGAGCAAATATATCTACATAAATATACTCCTTGTTCCTAATCTGCACTAAATCATGAGTGTTACATTAAGGAGCAAATGTTAATAACACTATAAGAAAAATAACATTTCTTCTGAACGAAATTCTACATATGGAAAAGATATATTTCTTCTTTACATAAAATGACAAGAATTCCTGTTCCCCAAAAAAGTCAAATCCAAAGTAGACAATTGTTGGTGCCAATTTAGTCACCTTTCAATTGAAAAAAAACCCTAAGTTTTCAAAAGGAAGTGATACAATTTGATCACTTAAGCTTATTTGCAGTTCCTGCCAGAAAATTATTTCCAATCTCTCTCTCAAGACAGTTTAACTCAAAATTTTGATATTTTCCTTTATGTAACAAAGACAAATTTCAACCTCAGCTCTGGGTCCTATGACGGGAAAAAAGAATTACTAAAGAGTATTGTACCTGTCAAAACATCTTTGCCTTATCCAACACATTCTCCTTTACAGCATTTAACTTTTATACTGACTAGACTTTATATAATCACTACATTTTCCTCTATTACAGGACTGTATACAAAACATTGGTTTTGCTTTTTATACCTAAAAGAATGTATTTTATTTTCTATCCTCAAGATGGCTGAGTCATCAGGACAGAAATTAGAAGTCAGAGAATGCCTCTTGAAGAAATGATTTATAGTAAACAGGAAAGAGTAGAGCAGTTGATTGTGGAATGGGTTGAGAAAAGGCTATCTTAAAAATTTAGATTATTTTAAGAATCATAATAATACAAAAGTGGCTGGAGCTAAATCACAGAGATGGTAAGAGAAGACAAGCAAAATGGGGCCTATTGGTTAACTCTGAAAAGTCATAATCATTTTATTTGACCCAGAGAGATTAAAGATTACTGGAAGAATGTAATGTAGGGAGCTGAGTCCTAGAAAAATAACTTAGTCATGTGGATATTTTGAATGAGTCTCAGAGTTGGAAAAGATGTAAGAAAAAAAAATGGAAAGACTGGGTGTGACACGGACTAGGAAAATTAATAATAAAGTTAATAACAGGGGCCCTAAAGCATTCAGGGGTTTTTGTTATATTTCAGTGGGCAAAAAAGTAGAGATGGTCTGGGGACTCAAATAACTGCAAATTATGAAATATTTCCAGGCCCTGCAAGTGAACAGGTAGGAGCTGAGAAATAACTTATTTTAGAATAACAGATGGAGGAAAAATTAGAACAATTATTGGCCTACTTTTCTGCCTATGGCTTTTTCCAATAACTTATTTGCCTCTATTTACCTTGAAAATAGTTTATGTTTTAAAATATAAAAACTACAAGAGGATTGGATGCAATTTCCAATTGAAGAAGGTCAGTTTCAAATGCTAAATTATGAGTATTTGATTTTCTCCAAAAATATTTTTATAAGATTAATATTAAAAATTAATTTGAAGGTCTATAAGATATCTCCAAATAGCCAGAAGTACTATCAGGATAATTTGGGATATAGCTACTTATTTCACTGACTCATAAGGAGTTCATGTACTTACTGGAAATAACATTGACACTGTGTCATATCCAATTTTTACTGTCAGTAGAAAATTTAGTTGAGTATTTGATTTTACAAATAATGAAGTTGGTGAGCAAAAGAATACAAGGATTTCCTTATATTTTTACTACTAACAATATATACATTTTATATTTCCATCTCCCTCAAATATTTTAATAAAAATTGATCAATCAAAATGAATCCATTTATACATTGCATCAAAATTGCAATGTAAAAATTGTCCCTCATAAATAATCTTGAATATATGCCACTAAAGCTTAATAATCTTGTCAGCTTTTTTTCCCCCTTCATTTCCCTCTCTGGGACTGAGTTTCTATACCACTTCTACAAATTGTCTAGAATCATAAATATATGGCCATTCCTATTCTTACACACTTAGCGATTCTTTTTCTGTTTAGTGAAGAAAAAAATACCCTAGAAAGTACATAAAGAATGTACCTTACTAAACAGAGTTACAACTATTTATGATTGTGACCAGCTGAAAGCATATACTATATGCTTTTAATGCTAAGGATGATGAAACTGTCTCATTAGGAGCATCCTCTGAAGAACTCCCACATTGCAGTTGTTCAACAGTCTTGTTCATTCTTTGGTACTGCCTTTACAACACTACATATTATACAACACTAAATGAGGTTTAGCCATCTCAAAGCTATAGCCTAAATTAGCAGTTGACTTTTAAATATTACTGCAGGATGAAAAATATTTTTAAAATGTCCTTTGTTTAACTTTATTTGGGGAAAAGGGCAAAGAGAGAAAAATTAAGGTAACAGTGTAAGTTACAAGTTGAGGAAATGTTTGTTTCATCCAACTATTTTTTAAAATCTCATTTTCTGATAATATCTCAAATCAAATATATATGAATATTAAGGAAATTTCAGCAGTAAGTAGTCTGGGATTTGAAATATACAGGTAATTATATCATTCATTCTCTTCCAGTCATATGTATACACGATACACAAACTATCTTGGCTACCCAATTGATCTTTTCAAATAGCTCTAAAATGCGTCACCAACAGGTATGAAAACAAGGTATTCGACTTACATTTAAAAAAAATTTTCAAATCACAGCTAACAATGTTAACCTAACTTCAAAGAAGCCACATTTTAGGCTGGAAAGATTTTTAAAGGACTGGTGTACTGGACAACTAATAATGTGTGTCAGAATAGGTGCATCATATATTCTACTTGCTTCAGTGGACCTAAACTATGGAGAGAGGGGAAACTGCAAGAATATAACTGGGAGGGTGGGAGGTGGAGACTGAGTATGCAGCACTCACTACAGGCATCATGGGAATTTGCGAAAGGTAGTCTATGAAGGTAATCAGACTCCCATGGAGCCAAGATAGCTTGTCTTTTAATATTTCAGCAACAGACTCAAACTAAAGTAACCTTTTAGACAAATTCAAAGAACGGGGTTTTAAGCATTGTTGCTTCCTGTATATACTCTGGCTCTTTCTTCCATCACTGAGAAACGGAGAAGGTGGAGAGTGAGGATAATTGGTGGGAATCTAAGATATTGGAATTTCAATAGCAAATACATAAAGAGAAAAAGCAGCAGCAAAGATGAGCCACTGCAGGACTTTGTCTTAGTCATCTTTATATCCCCCATGGCACCTTAGCACAATGCACTGCACACAGGGGTGCAGTCGATAAATAATGTATTAGGTTTAATTCAATTCACTCACATTTGTACTGCTTAGCAGTTACAAAGCAGTTTCCACATATTAGAAAAGAAAAGCAAAGTAAATGAGGAATAAAGGGGCAAGTAAGGGAATAAAAGGAAAGCAAAATAAAGAAAAATCCACAAGAATAAGCAAGCGGCCAAAAAGGCTGGGGAAAAGAATGAGCAAAAAAAATCAGTTTCTCCCTGTCACTCTCAATCCCTCCCAATCACCTCACCTTTCGTTCTAAATTATCTGGAGCTTAGAAAGTCTGACTGTTAAGTAAGCCCAAGAAGGGGCTCCTTCATCGTAGGAACGGGCATTTTCAGCGATAATAAGCCTTTGGTCCCTGACTGATCTACCTAGAGTTTGCTCAGGTATGACCTCGAGCAAAGCGCTAACATTTCCCAAGTGTGGCCACGCATCCTTTATTCCATTCCATCCCATCCATCCCCTCTTCAATTCCCAAAATCTTAGGGAAGAGTTGGGCCTGAGGATCCAAGGGGTTGGTGGGTGGGGGAGTCCTCTACAAGCCCCTTAACTCAGACAACAGAGGGAGGTAGTGAGACAGGAAAGCCCAGGGATCAGAAAAAAAGCTCACGTTTGCGATTAGGAGGGTGAGTGTCTATAACTGTGGTTATTATAAATCGCCAGGGACAAAAGGGGGAACCTTCAAGATGGAAGAAATGTGAAGGTACCTGAATGCGCATCACCTTACATCTGGCGTTGAGCCCTTAATAAAAAGCCGTGAGGTCCAAAACCTCGACTGGCTTGAAAGGGAGAAAGCAGAGAAGGCAAAGGATGCGAGGGGATGCGCTGGAGGCAGCCCAGAGACAGCAGCAAGGATGCTGTCCCAGGGGAAGCATGATGTCCTCACCCTCAAAGTAGCACATACCCCCACCCTGGGCATCCTCAGCCAAATCTGGGTGTGGGGGGATGCCAGGCTCCGAATGGGGGCGGCCGCGTCCTGACCCCATTATGTGGGCTAAAAGTTGCTTGGGAGAGTTGGCGCTGGGGAAGGCACCTGGCAAGGGCGGCCGCCGAGGGGGCGTCAGCTTTCCCAGGAACAAAGGGGCCAGGAAAGGGCGACCAGGGGAGCAGGTCCTGGGGGAGTCCACCCTGAGCTGGGAGATAAGGGTCGCCACGTCCTCCTGGCCCGGGGGCAGTAAGGGGAGAGGGGAGTACGCAAGATGCGCCGGTATTCTGCCTCCCGACTTCCTGCCTCCAACGGGGTGGCGCCCGCTGCCCTCTAGCTCTCTGGCCGCTCCGCGCCCCTCTAGCTGGAGACAAAAGGAGACCGGGGACCCCAGGCCCCTGCCAGTCCTGGAGGACCCCCGCCCCGACGCGTACGACGATCCGCCAGTGGAAGCCGCGGTGGCGGGCTCTGGCGCGGCGGGCGCCCCCTCCTAACCTCGCACTGGTGCCCCGCGCCCCAGTGCCGCCTCACCCTCCCCGCAGCGGGCATTACCTTTCATCCAGTCCACTACTTGACTCGGAGACCATTTGCTCACCGGTTCCATTATCAGAGCCATGGGTACGGGGTCGGTTCCGTGCAGAGCGCAGAGCTCAGACACAAAACGAACTCAGCAGCCCGAGCTGCTCTCAGGTGGGGTCCCTTGCTGGCCGCAGCCTCCCTGGGCGGGCGGCGCGGAGAAAGCGGCTTTTGTGTGTCGGGTCTCGCGGCTGTAACGTCTTTTAGCCAACCGCCGGCAGGAACGGCGACAGGGAGGTAAACGTGCAGGAGTCGTGGCTCCGCGCCGGGTCTGCTCAGTTCCCGCTAAGGCGGCGGCGGCGGCGGCTGCTGCTGCTGCTGCTGCTGCTGCTGCTGCTGCTGCCTCCGCCGCTCCGCTCCGGTCTCCGTCCCTAGGGAGCTTCAGTTCATAGCTTGAGTTGCTGAGGGGTCGCGTCGCCGAGGGAAGCAGCCTCTGCCGCACGCCCTCAGCCAACTTGCCCGCTCGCCTCACGCGCGGGAGTGAAGCCCCGAGCACGACTAGCTGCCCGGCGGAAATGACGAGGGGCCTCCTGCCACCCAAAATATCTCTCCGCAGCCCTCGGGTGCGGGGCGCGCGCGCCACGAGCCCCCCGCCCGCTCGCTGCCGCGCGGTCCCGCCCCCAGGGCCGACGGCAGGCGCGCGAGGCGCGTGCGCGTGCGCGTGCCGGCACGAGGCCGGAGCCCAGGGTCTGTCTGGCAGGCAGACAGGTGCCAGCAGCTCGCAGCCTGGCGTTCCCGCTCTGGGGGCCGTCCGGGAACAGAGGCGCGCGAAGTGCGCGTGCGCGGCGGCGGAGGCGGTGGCGGCGCGAGGCAGAGCCAGAGCCCGGGGTCGGTCAATCAGGTGCGGGCGGCTGGAGCATGGCTTTGTGAGGCCTCTGAGGGGACCCGGCGGTGGCGGCCACGGCGGGACGGGCCGCCCACCAGTTGAACTCCGACAGCTGAGGCGGCTGAGGAGGTATCCGCGGCCCCACCACCGAGGGGAGGGGGACACCACTGAGCGCGGGGCTTACAGCGAGAGCCCGGGCTTTCCTGGCTCTCGCTTTCGCCCTCGCCCTCCCCGCTGCTGAGTGGGCTCCGGAGGTGATTCCCGAGACCCGCGTACGCCTGCAGAGACGGAGGTGTGGACTGCCGTGGACGAGAACGGGGCTCCGCCTGCCAGAAGCGCAGCGATGATGAGGCAGGAGGGCTAGTGCTGTCGGATCTTCCCCGGGTGATGAGCGGGTCCTGGGAAGTCAGGCGTTGAGGCTGTCACCTGCCAGCTGCTGGTTGTGGTGATCCTGAGACAGGTTCTGCCCCAAGTACCATTTTAAAGGGCTCTGTTTCAGGTTTTGGGCCAACTCCTCTAAAGTACCTATTTTAGAGAAGTCATTTTGTGTTTGATATTCTTATATATTAATAAGAACCGAAGGGCAACAATGGGATTTAAAATGAGTGACAAATTGTAGACATGATTTTTCAAAACTCATTTTCTTCAAAAACCATACACAGGCTACTATGCAACGGTTAGTAAAATACAGTTTGCCTAATGAGGCTTCACTTTAAAAGACAAATATTCCTAGAGTGTAGATGCTAACTCTCTGCCACCGTTATAGGCGTTTTCTCTATCATTCTTAAATAGGTCCATTAAGTAAAAGAAACTTTTTAAATAAGCATTCCAGTAATGTCAATAGGTTTTGCCAGTTCCTATGGTAACCCATTTTCTCTAGTCCAATTTTATAAGATGCAGAAATGTCACGTTCTTTAACCGGCATGAGTTGACGACACCCTTCCCCCCCACACACACACACACAAACAGCTGAAACCACAGTAGTTAAAATATTGTGACGTTTTTAACTGCTGATTTCAATGCTAGTGATAGCGAACAAGTAAAATTTAAGATGGCCTGTATTTAGGCTTCTTTATTTTTCTAACTATCCAAACTTAGAAGTATATGCAGAATTTTGGAAAGACATTTAGAAAATTATCTAGACAAGCCTACATTCAGAGGACACAGATACAACACCTTACTTTCACAATCCAGATCGTGGTTGTGACTTACAATTTTTTCTTGGCTGACCAGGTGTGAAAGGTATTGTATTTTGGAGTGCTTACATTCCAGTAGAGTCTAAGAACATTACATCAATGTTTCTAGAAAAGACCGTTTTCAGTGTCAGTAATTGAAGGAGTAGCTTTATATATATATATATATATATGTGTGTGTGTGTGTGTATATATATGTGTGTGTATATATATGTATATATGTGTATATATGTATATATAGTGTGTATATATGTGTGTATATATGTATATGTATATGTGTATATATGTGTATATATGTATATATGTGTATATATGTGTATATATGTATATATGTGTGTATATATGTATATATGTGTATATATGTGTGTATATATGTATATATGTGTATATATGTATATATGTATATATGTGTATATATGTATATATGTGTATATATGTATATATGTGTATATATATGTGTATATATGTGTATATATGTATATATGTGTATATATGTGTATATATGTGTATATATGTATATATATGTGTATATATATGTGTGTATATATATATATTTTAAATGTAATGGATACATTGTGGGGCTGCAGTTATAGGGAGATGCTAAAAGTAATTTTATCAAAATAATACCGCTAATAATAACAATGAATATTTATTGAGCATGGTGCTAAGTACGTTACATATGTTTTATCCTCCAAAACAGCTCATCATTAGCCACATATTACAGATAAGAAAACCCTACCTATCACATTCACTTCCTATCTCCAAACCTATTACACATAATGCAATAAATGTTGGATAAATTAATGAATAAGGCTTAAAAAGGTAATTTGTCTGATGTAATGATGCACCAAGTTAAGGTGATTCCAGAACGTGAACTTTTAAAACTAGTAAAAAGAGTTGTATCAGTGTTACAAAACGAACAGTATGAGTGATGGAAAGCCCATTGAGCGTTAACAGAATATGTCTCATCAGAAGTAACTACAAAAAAGTGTGAGAGTCACCCTGAGTGTTCCTGACCAGAACCTAAACAGCAACTCTGAGAATGTAGAAAATGACTAAATTTGAGTGACACACCAAACTGCACCTTGAGGCTGGACTTGCAGGACAAGCAAGGTTCAAAGTGAGATATTGCTTGCTTAATGAGTGGAATATCAAAACAAATGTCAAAGACCAAGATGCAGTAAAAATAAAACAGATGTGTGTCTCATGAAAAGACCAGTGCCAAAGAAGATGGGAAAACAAGATCCCAGAGAAAGATTTTGAGGAAGACCCTAGATCAGAATTCAGTCATATATGTTCTCCTCTTATTTATGTTAAAGTAAGGAATTCATTTGGTCTAATCACCTGAGATTATTTAAAAAAATAAATCTAAGAACTAGTAACGACTGAAACAAAATGTAGGTGTGGAGTTATACTATCTAGCAGATTTTACCAAGGCTTTAAATATTTGCCCTAATTCCTTCTCCCTGAGGTTTCCCCTACAAAACATAGCATTTGCCTTTGATTTTGACAATACAATGGGCATTAATTACTTCATTTAATTTGTTCAGAACATAAGTGGCTTTTTACTTCAAATATTCTTGATTTGGGGGAAATCCTAAAATAAAAGGATGAAATCTTCATTGCCTTCATTCTTATTCTTAACTACAAATGACTCAGCTAAAACTTTCTTGCATTTTTCCTTTCACAACTTTTCAAATAAACTAGGTTTTATTTTTTTTTTTTTTTTTGCTTGTTAGTCAAAATGTTAATGTCTGGCTCCATTTTTGTAAGTGTAGTGTAATGTGATTACATACAGACTTTAGCAGCTTAATTTTGCCTTCTCCTAATGCAAAATACAGTCTCAAAGATTAGGAGAAAGTGTGTTGTCATAAAATACATACTAAAACATAATGCATAAAGAGTATGATGTCACACTTACTTCAATAGTCTAGATATAAAAGCAAAACTGATCTTTGGAAGCAGCCTTAGATTCTTTTTGGAAGCAGACAAAGTATAAATATTAAATTAATTGGAAACATAACTTGTGAGATATTTGTACCCATATCAAAATGAATCACTTTAAATGACCTTTTTATTTTAAAAATAATCTCGCGTCAGTTTATGGCACTAGTTGTTATAGTTTGGTCTTTTCTAATCTTGTCCCTCTAGATTTCACTAAAAAACTCTCTTGATCAAAATATTCTCTTAAGGTTTTATAGTAAAAGAAGTGAGTCTAATTAGCTTCAGATATGGAATTTACAAATGGTTTCCTAAATAGAAGCTGGGTGGCTCAAAGGATCTGACTTTCAGAGGTTAGGTCAGATAGGGAGGGAGCGTTCCACTGGAAGAAAGACCTTCAAGCCTTTGTCCCTTTGGGACCAAAGAAAGGAGTAAAAAATAGGAATGTTTCTTCTTGAGCTGCAAGCTTAGTATCTCTGACCCCTACGTTGTCCCACCTAGGCTATCTTATAGGGGCCATAATCTTCACTTAGCGTTTTTTCCTGCTAAAATGCTTGCTCTGCATCAGACCTCAGACTTGTCATGTAAGACATATTTTAATATTTTTAGTTACTTAACATTTAGACAAAATGTATTGTAGAGTCCTTTCTGGTAATTTTCCCAGTTCATTTAGATTTAGTATTTTTTGCTATAGCTGTTTGATTTTTAGAATTCTTGCCATTTTAATGAGTAATATTTTATCAAACTATTTTCTCTCTTTTATCTGTTGTCTTTTAACGGGTAGTGAGAAGTGACAACACAGAACAGCTGTGAGGGTAGTCCATTATCTAAACTAGAGGAAAGGATAGGAACCTCCTTTTTCCACTTATTTTTGCCCAGACCTTTTCTATCATTTCAAAAGCTGGTGTTCTATGCTTGCCCAAACTATACCCCTTGATCAGAAAAAATTAGGCATTTCTGGTAAGACTAGTAAACAAAACACATTATTCCCGAGAACAATATGTAAAACTTGCTCCAGGGAAATCTCAGCAAAATTTCTGAAACAATTTCTTTGCAGTGTAATCCAACTAACAGCTATGAATTAAGTACCAAAGCCTCTGATATACCCAACCACTTGATAGCAATCTGTCTAAGCTTCCAATCATCAGAGACCTTAACTGTAAATGGGCCTTCAGTGCACTGCCCTGGGCCAAATCTCCCTCTAGATTAACAGGGAGAAGCACCCAGAGAGGATAATTAAATTAGTAGAATTCTTTCTTTGCTGTTCTGCCTCTAGGGTAAACTGTATTAAATCCAGCCATGTCCTTTCTTGACCGAGATATATGGCAATACTCTCTGAGTGAAGAGAAATTGGCTTGAGTTGAGGTTATCCCAATAGGGTTTAATAGGGCTCTTTCCAGGGCCCTTCATTGCTGCATTAATCACAATCTAATAAAAATCCCAGAGCCCACCAAGATTAGGAAACCTAGTTTTCTTAACACATAAAGCCCTAGCCCACCAGGGAAGTTTTCAATACACTTGTCAGCCATAAATGACAGGCATATAAACTCATTATTCAACAAACATTTCTTTGAGCACAATGTGCTGCTCAAGTTGTATCCTTTGATCAGAAAAATTAGCTTGATTTTGTGGATGCAAAGATGACCAAGATTTTCATAGACTGGTAGCAGAAACAGAAACGTGTAGTTAATTTAATAAGATAATGTGATAAGTGCAATGATAGATGTGTCCAGTGATATGTGAAGAGAAATACCTAGCAGCTGGGAGGAAGACTATATGGAAAGGATAACGCCTGGTTTAGATTTTAAAGGACGACAGCCAGGCATTAATGCGGAAGCGACCTTATAGGCAGAAGGGACAGTGCAATCAAAGTTATAGAGCACTATGTATAAGTACCTGGATTGCTGGCATTAAAAACCAAAGCAAGAGGTGACAGGAGATGAGATGGGAAGGATAGGCAACAGCCAGATTATGGAAAAAATCAAGCTGTCCAAGATAGAGCCATCTAAGGATTTTAAGAAATGGAGTGACTTGGTCATATTTATATATTTATGTTTTATATAGACTACTCTGGCAACCATGGAGAAAACAGATTCAAGAGAGATAGGATGCAATTCAGAGGATGTGGCAATAGACCAGTGAAGAGATGACTCAGGTCAGAAATAGGGCAGTGGAGGTGGGGATGGAGAGAAGAAGATATATTTAATAAATAGGTTCTCGATTAGATACAGGAGATTAGAAAAAGAGCAATATCAAGAATGATTCCTGGGATTTTAGCTTGGGTAAATGAGTAAATTGTTTCTCCTCCATATAACATAAAAAATAAAGGGAGCTGACTTGGGAGGGGAAAGTGATCTGAGATATTAGTTCTGTCTTGGACATTCTAAAGATGGAATACCTATAGGGCAGTCAAGAAGAGATTTCCAGTAGGTTGCTTCTGTGATCATGTATAGGAATGTGAAGCTGAGTATGGGCTGAAGATATATGTTTGAGAGTTACTACTAAAACAAGAATATTGATGAGACAGGGAGGATGTCAGGTGCCCCATTGAGGAAGCCCACAGAAGAGAAAGAGAAGGTATGTAAAATAATTATAAGAAGAACCAAGAGAATGTAGTGTCATGATACCCCAATGAACAAAGAATTTCAGGTAGAAAGAAGTGAAAAATTGTGTGAAGTGCAAAAATGATGCTGTTCCAATAAGAACTGAAAAAAAGAATCTGGTAGTTTTGTCAGTTTTTATATCCTTTATGGCATTATTAAGGTCTGTGAAAGAAGTGGATGTCAGAATAGGGAGGCTTGGTATATAGGGCATTAATTTTTTCACAAGTTGATTTTCCTTCTATCTTTCCCCATAGCCTACCTATGTGCATATTTTATTCAGATGGATCCACAATGAATGACTACAATTCTTCTCCAATTTACCCACTACCACTTGCATTAATCTTTTCTAATGAAATCCCAGACACTAATAATGACACCTACTCTTATCTGATTATATTTTACCACTTCTAGTAGTATGATGACACTCTTTAAACTGGACCGGCTTTGAAATCCCCCCTCCATCAGTTGTAGGGGAACAGCTTTGCCGTGGCACCCTGGGATCTTACACATCTCCAAATGAGCCCTGTAGGCAAAGATCAATTGCGTTGTGACACATGTTTTGGCAGAATGCTCTACAATCCTGCCTGGAACATGGCAAGACAGTCTAGTGAAGAACTATCAAAGTCAATTTCTCATTTCCGGGGTGGAAAGTCATGCCACCCTGGTTCCAGTGAGGCATGGGACTTTCCATCTTACCCAAACTTCAGATACAGTTTCAGACTAAAAATGGTTTAGCTGTAGTTTAGAGTTAGCTCTTCAACAACAGAGTGACCCAACATCCGTGTCTTCTATCATCTGTCCCTTAGGATTTGGTGTTATCCTATGGGACTAGGGACATGGGGAGCCAACACCATGCTGATTTTGCACTGCTGTCTGTGTAAATAATAAACTTTCTCAATCTATTCGGAGTTGTCTCTTTACTGGCCAAATCTATGGAAGTGTGACAAGCCAACTTAGCAGCTGCCACCATGGTGCTGCATAGGTACTGCTTGACCACTTGGCACAGATCTGACCTAGGAAGCTCATAAATATGCCCAAAAGGAGTCAGATCTGCTGAACCTCTGCCTGTGGATAAACTAGGCCAGTCCAGCGTGGCCTAGTAAATCAGCAGCAGCAGCAGCAGCAGCAGGAGCAGCAGCAGCAGCAGCAGTAGCAGCAGCAACTGTTTCAGATTTGAAAAGACTACATTTTTCCTAATCATTAGGGCTTCCTAAGATAACCCATAATTAATAAAAATCCTGTGTTGATATTGCAGGATAGGAAACAAAGGAAAGACCCTGATCTAAAGCCTTTATTCTGAGCTTTAATATTATTTACAAAACACAGAAATTTAGGGAATGCTGTCACATTCAAGACTATAGATCCATTTTCATCTGAACATTTAGCAGTCCTACTTGGAAGTGGCAAATGTAAACTGGCAAAATTCATGCTAGATAAGTTGAAAGGTCCTGTTTATAGGTTAACTGGTACATCTCTATAGACAGATCAAAAATTTTAATGAAAAAGTGCTTAAGGTAAGAGAGCAATTGTTTAATATTTGGCTAATAATTGATAGACTACAGTGTATGAGAGATGGAGAATGGGAAAGATAGTTTCCCTTCTCCATAGGTTTTTTTTTTTCCTCAAATAGGTCTTATTTACTTCTAGGAAGATTGGGTAACTTAGGATGCTCATACCAAGTTGGAACAAAATCAGTTATTCCTACTGACCAGGAACTGTATCCAGAAAGAGAGAGAGGCATGTAAGTGTGTCATTGCTTTTGACATTTTCTTGGTTTTGAAAGAAAACAGTTATTTCGGTAATGTAATGAAAATATTTTGGTTTAGTTACTCTTAGGAACTATTTCAAATATTTTATAGTACAATGCAAGCTGTCGTTTATTGATTTTTCAAAGTGATCATCTACTCTGTATAGGCCCTGTGCTTAGCACTATCGATACAAAAACGAGTAAAACATGATTTCTGTCCTCAAAGCCTGTAAACCAAAAAATCATACAAATATATATTTTTGATATAATGTAGCAAGTGAAATGACAGAGACATACAAAAGTATTATGAGCGTATGTCACAGTATGAAAATATAAGTGCATACCAAATTAATAAATAAAAAAGCATCTATCTCTCTATATTAGAAGATGGCAATGGAGAGCAATCAGGCAAGAGAAAAAAATGAAAAGTATCCAAATAAGAAAGAAGGAGTCAAACTCTCTTCACTGGCAATATGATTCTATACTTAGAAAACCCTAAAGACTCCACCAAAAGGCTACTAGAACTGATAACCTATTTTAGCAAGTTTTCAGGATAGAAAATCAATGCACAAAAATCAGTAGCATTTCTATACACCAACAATGTCCAGGCTGAGAGTCAAATCAAGAACATAATCCCATTTAGAATAGCCACAAAGAAAATGAGATGCCTAGGAATACAGCTAACCAACGAGTTGAAAGATCTCTACAAGGAGAACTATAAAACCATGCTGAAAGAACACAACTCAAATAAACAGAAAAACATTCCACATTCATGGATTGGAAGAATCAATGGCCATACTACCCAAAGCAATTTACAGATTCAATGCTATTCCTATCAAACTATGAACATCATTCTTCACAGAATTAGAAAAAGCTATTCTAAAATTCATATGGAATCAAAAAAGAGGCTGTATCGCCAAAGCAATCCTAAGCCAAAAGAACAAAACTAGAGGCATCACACTACCCAACTTCCAACCATACTGTAATGCTACAGTAACCAAAACAGCATAGTACTGGTATAAAAACAGATGCACAGACTAATGGAACAGAATAGAAAACTCAGAAATAAAGCCATACACAGCAAAGACATGGAATCAGCCTTGGTGCCCATCATTGGTGGATTGAATAAAGAAAAAAATGTTTTTCATAAAACATCATGGAATACTATGCAGCCACAAAAAATATGTCCTTTCCAGCAACATGGATGGAGCTGGAGTGAATTAATGCAGGAACAGAAAACCAAATACTGCGTGTTCTTACTTATAAGTAGGACACATGGACATAAACATGGGAACAATAGACACTGCAGACTACTGGTGAGGAGGCATGGGTTGAAATACTATGTATTGGGTAGCATGCTCACTACCTAGGTGAAATATACCCATGTAACAAACCTGCACATGTATCCCCTGTATCTAAAATAAAAGTTGAAATTTAAAAAAAGAAGATGGCAATGTAATTTATGTATTTTGTTTTATCTCCATTCATTCAGCAAACATTTATTAAACAGTTATTGTGTACCATGTATAATGTTTCATCTCCATTCAACAAATGTTAAATGGTTACTGTGCACCACGTACTGGGCTAAGCACCATAGGTAAATCAGTGAATATAATGGACATGGTTCCTGACCCTATGGAGCTTACAAACCATAAAATATACTAGTAAACTATATATATATACATATATATATATATATATATATATATATATATATATATATATATAAAAACTCAAATTATGAAAAGCACTGGTATGAAATGTACAAGGTATAGTTATAGAAAACAACTGGAGTGAAGGAAAGAGGAAACTCCCTAAGATGATCAGAAAATACTTCTCTGAGTAGTTGACTTTTAGGCACAGTTTTGGGATATAAGAAGAATATGGGCATGAAAAGACCAGAAATAGCTCATTCAAGGGAGAAATAAAAGCATGTGTGAAATCTCTAAGGCATAAAGAATTTGAGATGACTGAGGAACAGAAAGGAAATCAGTGTGGCTGAAACAGTGAATGGGCAAAGGGCATAAAAAGAGGCTAGAGAAGTAGGCTGAAGTTAGAGAAAACAGCGTTGTAATCTATGTGATAACTATCTTAAAGTGCAGTGACAAGCCATTGAGGATTGTAAGCAGGTCAGAAACATGATATGACTTATTTTTTTTAATTATATAAGGAGGTCCACTTTTATAAAGTTGCAGTAGACATACCTTTCCCTATTCCTTCTGTTAAGTACACCTAAAAACCCTGGACATTATATATATGTATAACATAAGAAGACCGAAAGGTGGAGAGAAGAAAGCAGACCAAGAAGTTAACTCAGAACCAAGGAATAACATTGTGGTGAGTTCTTCAGGTTTTTTATTTTTTGCCTCATATATATTAGACTTTGAGCTGAAGAAGCCAGAAACCTGGAAATGCCAAAGATGCAGACAAAAAGGGCCTGAGAAAAGCCTGCTCTCTCTATCAAAGTAATCAGGAAAGGGGCAGCTGAGAAAGATAGGAAATGTTCAGACAATAACCACTCCACTCCAACCACAGAAAAAACTGTGGCCCTACTCCCACCCATGCCAGCAAAGGCAAAGTAGGGAGCCTAGACTTCCACCTTTGCAAGGCCATATCAAGGCACCCAAACACCACCACCATGGTGGACAGAGTCAGAGAAGGACAAGTAGGAGCTGGGACTTTGATTTTTTGCCAGGCAGTAATTAGCCACCTACTCATCTGCAGTGTCAATGGAACCTGGACTTCTACCTCCATCCAGCAGCAATGGAGTGCCCCCTTCTCCACTGGGATGGCGTCAGAGGAGTCCCTGTGGAGAGTTAAGACTTTGACCACTGCCAAGCAGTAATTAGGCCACCTCCCACCCCATGATGTCAGCAGAAACCAAATAGTGACCTTAAGTAATGAATCACTCTTACCCATCCTAGCCAGGGAGGTATTTGTGGAAGCCTGTAGGAAAGTCAGACCTCCAACTGTAGTTCATATAACTCAGCAGTAATGAAAAGCCCCACCTTAGGTGTCAATGAAGGCTGAGTGGGGAGCCTGGACATTTACCACACCTGGCTGAAAGAAGGCAGTGCCCTTGCTTCTCTTGCTGGATCTGTATTACAGAAAGACAATTAAAAGAAGGTTTATATAAGATACAAAGGTTCATAACATAATACCCCCAACATCTAAGTTTCAACTGAAATTCACTTGTCAGACTAATAACCAGGAAAGTTTCAAACTGAATGAAAGAAGATGATCAACAGAGGCCAACATGATTACAGAAATATTAGAATTATCTGACAAGGATAAAAGTTAAATAGTGGTTACCAGGGGCTGGGGGAAGGGAAAATGGGGAGTTTTGCCTAATGGGTAAGTTCTGGAAAGGGATAGTGCAGATGGTTGTACAACATTGTGAACATACTTAATGCCACTACATTTTACATGTAAAATGGTAATTTTGTTATGTACATTTTACCAAAATAAAAAAAATACTAAAAAAGGCAAAAAGCAGGAAGCCATGGAAAGAAATGGCACATTTTTCAAGTGTTGAAAAAAAAAAAGTACTGTCCACCTAGGATTCTATATTCAGCAAAAATATTCTCTAAGAATGACAGATAAATCAAGATATCCTCAGATGAAGAAGAACTAAGAAATTCTGCCAGCAGAAATATCATAAAAAATGGGTAAAGGAAGTTCTCTACATAGAAAAGAAATCATAAAAGGAGGAATAATGAAACATTAGGAAGAAAGAACATAGGAAGCAAAAATATGAATAAATACAATATAGACTTTCTCTGCTTGAGTTTTTTAAATTATGTTTTACGGTTTCAGCAAAAATTATAACATTGTCTGATGTGGTTTTCAATATATGTAGATGATATATATGACTAGGGAGTATAAATGGGGTAAGTAAAGTCATGTAAAGAAAGGTAAGCTTTCTAAACTTCACTTGAACTGATAAAATAATGACACTAGTAGACTATGATAAGTTATGTTTATATAATATAATACCTAGAGTAACCACTAAAAAACTATAAAACAGATATACTCAAAAACACTGTAGGTAAAATGAGACTCTAAAAACTACTCACATAACCCATAGAAAGGCAGAAAAAAGAAAATGGATGAAAAACAACAGAGAAAAATAAAATGGCACACTTAAGCTCCAACACGTCAGTAATTATCTCAAATATAAATGGTCTAAGTACACAAAAGAGTGCAGAGTGGATTTAAAAACATGACCCAACTATATGTTGTTTACAGGAAACTCACTTCAAATATAATGATATAGGTTGGAAGTAAAAGGATGGAAAATATATACTGTGCAAATATATTTTTTACAGGAGTAACTATATTAACATCAGATAAAGTAGACTTCAAAGGGGAAGAAAACTAAAGGGGTAAAACAGAAGGCTGATATACTCATTTTATGTGGTGGAGAGTTAAGGGATACTTTACATAGTTGATGGAAAAAATCATCTAAATATATTCCTTAAAGTTACAATGGTAAGCAATAAAGGGGCTGAAAATAAAAAAAAAAATAATGACATGGGGGAAATGAATGAAGCAGTAGAGGTATGATGTAAATTAGCTAAATACTCTTATGCCATGACAAAAAGTCCTTGGATAGTGCCCTAAATTAACAAATCTACTAATACAATCAGCTTAAATGAGGTAAAAAGGAAGTGCATAAGGATGGGGCAGAGGACTATGGTTTTTTCATTGTAAGTCCTTATAAACCATTTGATTATTAACTCGTATGTATTACTTTAGTAAACATCTTTTAAATATTTTATTTTATTTTTTAGAGAGACAGGGTCTTGCTCTGTTACCCAGGCTGGAGTGCAGTGGCATGATCATAGCTCACTGTAACCTTGAACTCTTGGGCTCAGACAATCCTCCCACCTCAGCCTCCTGAGTAGCAAGGACTACAGGCATGCACCATGCCCAACTAATTTTTTTAGCACCATGCCCAGCTAATTGTTTTGTAGAGGCAGGGTCTTGCTATGTTACCCAGGCTGGTCTCAAACTCCTGGCCTTAAGAAATTCTCCCACCTCAGCCTCACAAAGCACTGAGAATACAAGTATGAGCCACCACGCCTGGCCTAAAAATATTTTAAATAAATAAGAAGTCTCTACTGTGACTTACTAGAGCATAAAGACTGAAGTACCTTGCATGGTCGTCAAGTCATTTACAGGATGACCTCAATCTAGCTTTACCTCTCTATTTCTAACCATACTCTTAGCACGATTTATGTTTTAGCTAAGACATCAAAAAACATGGTCTTGCTTCTCTTGTTTATCTGTCACTCAAGCACCATTTTAACTCATCAAGACTCTATTGAAATGTATCTTCCTCTATGGAATCTTTTCCAAATCAACCACTCACTCACTTCCAAGGGTAGAATTCTTATCTGCTTTTGAGCATGTTTTATTTTCATTCCATTTTTATATGCAGTGGGTATACAGTATACTTTTTGAATGGAAGTAAAATAGAACATGAACTCTGAATTCAAAATAGAAAAAGTTTCACATATTCATAGGTAAGAAGCACAAGAATTGTACATATAATATGAAAATACACGACATCCATATTTAAAAAGGGTTGTTAGTAGGAAAGTATAGTCTGATCCCTGGAAATTCTAATGGATCACGTTTTATGACAACTTTTCCTCTCTCCCTGACTTCATGAAAATTCACAATATGTCTCCTAAGTCAGAAACCGTATTTTCAGAACAATATATTATTTCTAAGCTTGTATGAAGCAGCACATCTTTTCTCATTAGACAAAATGTCCCATATCATTCAATTATAAATTAATCCAATTTTTATGAGATTTGCAATCTGATAGAAGAAATAGAAACTGGTTGATAATGAAAATTTTACAGCATTTTCTTGCTTTCCAGGCAAATAATTTTGCAAAAATCCTATATGAAGGCATAATTACCAAGCTCTTTTCCATTAACATTTGGCTACTTTTAATTTTCAACAAAACAATCTTATTTTTGTTTTATTTCATGGCAGATTATGGCCATTATGAGAAGGGGTGCATTACTACTTATTTGCCTTTGACCGTGTCTAGATTTTTAAATTGGTATCAATGATTGGTTGTTCTAATACGATGACTCTTAGGGTACCAGATGTCTGGCAATTTGGAAATAAAGATTTATGGCTTTACATCTGCCTAGCTATTAATCTGAATGTGTAAATTCAAAAGGCAAAATTAAGGATGGTTTTAGTAGCAAAACTTCTTAATTTTCATTGAAGTATATGTCCTCATCAAAATTATCTCATAGAGCTAGCTGCATAAATTGCATTCTTATAACTTATATGAAAATAAATTTTGTATAAAAAAATCACAATTTCACCAGAACATGTAGAATTGCAAAGCAATGTGATATACTTAGAGAGAGAGCTAAATTAAGGGTGAGAAGAGTTGGAACTTATGTCTAATTTCAAGTTTAGGGCTCTATAATATTGGGTAAATTACATAACCCCAGTAATCCTTGCAATTTTCATTGGAGATATGGGGATTCCCATCTCTTAGAATTGTCATGAGACTCAAGTGAGAAAATTTATCAAAAATCATTGTAAATTATGCAAATGTGTAGTAAAGCTGTTATGCAAGTTGTGTAGCATTCGTAGTATAAAATACCAAAATATCCTCAAGATTGAATACTCTTTAAGGTAGTCTTTAAGATTATCTTTGGTAGTCAAAACTCATTTGAAACCATGTCTACCCAGTAAATTTGATGCTCCAACTAGCTAACACTGTTTTTGGTTAACTTAAAAAAAAGAATAGCTATAAAATAGACATTTTAAAAGTCATGCCAGTTCAAATTACTGAAGACAATGTTTAAAAGTTCCTGAATATTTTGAATTATATCAACATTCCAAAAATGACAATTTTGAGTGCTTAACACCAATGGATTGTATTTCTTTGGTTATGTTTCTCACAATAATTTATCTGCATTTTACAAATATATCTGCATAAGTTCCTAGATTATTCTATCTTCAGTCTATATGTTTGGTTTAAAATACTACTCTACAAAAAATTAAAGTAGAGCACAAAATAACCAAGTATAATTGTTTGCAAAATGAGAAATCAAAAATATTCACTCATTTGCTGTGCAGAAGGTCTTTAGTTTAATTAGATCTCATTTGTCAATTTTGGCTTTTGTTGCAATTGCTTTTGGTGTTTTAGTCATGAAGTCTTTGCCCATGTCTATGTCCTGAATGGTATTGCCTAGGTTTTCTTCTAGGGTTTTAATGGTTTTAGATCTTAGGTTTAAGTCTTTGCCTATGCCTATGTCCTGAATGGTATTGCCTAGGTTTTCTTCTAGGGTTTGTGTGGTTTTTATGTCTTAGGTTTAAGTGTTTAATGCATCTTGAGTTAATTTTTGTATAAGGTGTGAGGAAGGGGTCCAGTTTCAGTTTTCTTCACATGTGTTAGCCAGTTTTCCCAGCACCATTTATTAAATAAGGAATCCTTTCCCCATTGCTTGTTTTTGTCAGGTGTGTTGAAGATCAGATGGTTGTAGATGTGTGGTGTTATTTCTGAGGCCTCTGCTCTGTTCCATTGGTCTATATATCTGTTTTGGTACCAGTACCATGCTAGTTTGTTTACTGTAGCCTTGTAGTATAGTTTGAAGTCAGGTAGCATGATTCCTCCAGCTTTGTTCTTTTTGCTTAAGACTGTCCTGGGTATACGGGCTCTTTTTTGGTTCCATATGAAGTTTAAAGTAGTTTTTTCTAGTTCTGTGAAGAAAGCCAATGGTAGCTTGATGAGAATAGCATCGAATCTATAAATTACTTTGGGCGGTATGGCCATTTTCATAATATTGATTCTTCCTATTCATAAGGAGGGAAAGCTTTTCCATTTGTGTGTGTCCTTTCTTATTTCCTTGAGCAGTGGTTTGTAGTTCTCCTTGAAGAGGTCCTTCATGTCCCTTATAAGTTGTATTTCTAGGTATTTTACTTTCTTTGTAGCAATTGTGAATGGGAGTTCACTCGATTTGGCTCTCTATTTGTCTATTATTGGTGTATAGGAATGCTTGTGATTTTCGCACATTGATTTTGTATCCTGAGACTTTGCTGAAGTTGCTTATCAGCTTAAGGAGTTTTGAGGCTGAGACGATGGGGTTTGCTACATATACAATCATGTCAAGAAACTATCATCAGAGTGAACAGGCAACCTACAGAATGGGAGAAAATTTTTGCAATCTATCCATCTGACAAAGGTCTAATATCCAGAATCTACATGGAACTTAAACAAATTTACAAGAAAAAAAATAACCCCATCGAAAAGTGGGTAAGGGATATGAACAGACACTTCTCAAAAGAAGACATTTATGTGGCCAACAAACGTATGAAAAAAAGCTCATCCTCACTGATCATTAGAGAAATGCAAATCAAAACCACCATGAAATACCATCTCATGCCAGTTAGAATGGCGATCATTAAAAAGTCTGGAAACAGGCAGGGTGCGGTGGCTCACGCCTGTAATTCCGGAACTTTGGGAGGCTGAGGCAGGCAGATCACGAGGTCAAGAGATCGAGACCATTCTGGCTAACATGGTGAAACCCCATCTCTACTAAAAATACAAAAAATTAGCTGGGCATGGTGGCACATGCCTGTAGTCCCAGCTACTTGGGAGGCTGAGGCAGGAGAATCACTTGAACCCAGGAGGCAGAGGTTGCAGTGAGCCCAGATCACACCACTGCACTCTAGCCTGGGTGACAGAGCGAGACTCCATCCCAAAAAAAAAAAAAAAAAAAAAAAAAAAAGTCTGGAAACAACAGAAGCTGGTGAGGATGCAGAGAAATAAGAATGCTTTTACACTGTTGGTGGGAGTGTAAATTAGTTCAACCATTGTGGAAGACTGTGTGGTGATTCCTCAAGGATCTAAAACCAGAAATGCCATTTGTCCCAGCAATCCCATTACTGGGTATATACCCAAAGGAATATAAATCATTCTATTATAAAGACACGTGCACATGTATGTTTATTGCAACACTATTTACAATAGCAAAGACTCGGAACCAACCCAAATCCCCATCAAAGATAGACTGGATAAAGAAAATGTGGCACGTATACACCATGGAATATTATGCAGCCATAAAAAAGAATGAGTTCGTGTCCTTTGCAGGGACATGGATGAAGCTGGAAACCATCATTCTCAGCAAACTAACACAGGAACAGAAAACCAAACACTGCATGTTTTCACTCATAAGTGGGAGTTGAGCAATGAGAACACATGGACACAGGGAGGGGAGCATCACACACCGGGGTCTGTTGGTGGGTGGAGTACAAGGGGAGGGATAGCATTAGGACAAATCCCTATTTTAAAATGCTAATAAGTTATAATAAAAATATTGCCTTGTCAAAATAATCTTTTGGGTGACTTCTGGTTCTGTCAAGATGGAATAGCCCCATTCCTTCTAGGTCCTCCACTCACAACTAAATAACCTAGATCTAACAATATAAACAGGCATAGGAAGACTCTGAAACATTGAAAGAAACAGGTTGACAGCCTAGGTAATTTGTTACTTGAGGAAATACACAGTGGTGAGTTTCCTGAATTTCCTTATTACTTCCTATATATCCTGGACAGAGTAAGGCAGAATCCTTCTATCCAGAACTGCCAACAGGCAAAGACAAAATAAGTTCCAAGAAAAGCCAGTCTCCCCTTCCCACCAAGCCAAACGATCAGGAAAAGTGTGGCCTACCATCAGAAAACCTTTTTATCAATACCTATGCTATACAAGACAAACAACAACGGAGAAACAACACCTCACTCCACCATCGTTTCGGTGATATTCCGTTTGGTGCAAGTGACTAGCACTCTAATTTCTGCACTGTCAGTAAGCTGAATGGGGATCTAATCTTCCATCCCCTGCCCAGTAGTAGCAGGCAGCAGTTATCTGATTCCCCTGTAAAAGTAGTATTAATTGGACCAAGCAGGCTGCTGATCTTCTACCCTCTGCATGGTAGAAGCATGTAGTGCTCTGATTCCCTTACTGGAATACTATTGGTTGTGCTGGGATGTGAGAGAGGAACTTCCATTCCCCGCCTGGCAGGAGCACGTAATGTTCAGACTTCCCCACTAGAGTCACTTCAGTGGTATTCAGTGGTGAGCTAAACCTTGAGTTTTACCTAGCAGCAATAAGACTTAATGAGGTGGTCGGGGCTGGTGCTTGCCACCAGTAGGCTTCACTACCCACCACCCTCTCCATGTCACAGGGCCCAGTGAGGAGCTACACTTTCACTCCCACCTGAGATAAATAAGACTGAATAAGGCAGTGCTAGTCAGGACTACTAAGCACTCACTTTCTGCCTACCCGTGGTGTCGACAAGGCCAGTGCAGAGCTGAACCTCTAAACTTGCCCAGCAATAATGAGACTGAATGATGTGGTATTAAGGAAGGCTAGACAGCTCTTCTGTTCCTTCACTGAAGATGTCAAAGTGGTCCTGTAGGAAGCTGAGTCGCTATACCCACCTGTCAGTGTCCCACTTTCACTAGGAAGTTATCTGTGGGGGCTGAGGAGGAGCTTTTATTCGCACATCTTCCATGAGGCAGTGTGAGTAAGTGGCCCACTTTTGCCTGGGTGGTGTTGGCAGGACATTCACCCCAGCTGTCATGGCAGCTACACCTAAACAGATGGACTGTCTGTTAAAATAAAGAAGATTAAATAGGATGCATAGTTTCATAATATCATATCCAGAATGTCCAGGATACAATAAAAATTATCTGTTATAACACAAACCAGGAAAATCAAACATAATCAAGAAAAAGCAATAGATGTCAACACCAAGAGAAATTAAGTATTGGAATTATCTGACAAAGTTTTTAAAGCAGCTATCATAAAAATGTTTCAACAAGAAATTATGAATGATTTTAAATAATGAAAAATGGAAAGAAATTAATTTTCTGTTTTTCACCAAAGAAATAAAGCTATAAGAGATAAATAACTAGAAATCATAGATATAAAATTAAAATAATCAAAATGAAAAACTTGCTCAATGGCTCAGTAGTACAGAAGATAAAAAACAAAATAAATGAACTAGAATAAGATCAGTAGAATTTATGCAGTCTAAACAACAAAGAAAAAATAGATTGAAAAAAAATATGAACAGAGTCCCAGGGACTGATGAGACAATAGCAAAACAGATCATTTCTATCATCAGAGTTCCAGAAAGAGAGGAGAGAGATAATGGCAGTGAAATATTATTCAAGTAATAACAAAAAATAATAGTGGCTGAATTTGTTTTGCCAATTTGTTATTATTTATTGAGGAGTCCAGCTCCAGGTAAAAATCCTATGTGTGATCCTTCAGGCCCGGTTATAAGCAAGCCTGATTGGGGAGAAGCTGCCTCCTGATACCACATTTCACTGTCAATGGATTGCAATTTTCTGAAGGGAGTTAAGGACTCAGCCTTTCTTTGCCCCACCCCAACGAGCCGTGCTCATATGCATATTTACAATCCTAGCCTTGGTGCCGTCATTCAATGGTCTCCCTTTTTCTTTTTTTCAAATTTTATTTTAAGTTCAGGGGTACATGTGCATGATATGCAGGTTTGTTATAGGTCAAGGTGTGCCATGGTGGTTTGCTGCACAGATCATCCCATCATCTAGGTATTAAGCCCAGCATCCCTTAGCTATTCTTCTGGATGCTGTCCCTTCCCACACACGCCCTCTGACATGTTGCAGTGTATGTTATTCCCCGCCAGGTGTCCATGTGTTCGCATCATTCAGCTCCCCTTATAAGTGAGAACATGTGGTGTTTGGTTTTCAGTTCCTGCATTAGTTTGCTGAGGATAATAGCTTCCAACTCCATCCATGTCCTTGCAAAAGACATGACCTTGTTCCTTTTTATGGCCACATAGTATTCCGTGGTGTATATGTACCATATTTTCTTTATCCATTCTGTAACTGATGGGTATTTAGGTTGATTTCATGTCTTTGTTATTGTGAATATTGCTGCAATAAACATACGCATGCAGGTATCTTTTTTTTTTTTTTTGAGACAAGGTCTCCCTCTGTTGTCCAGGCTGGAGTGCAGTGGCCTGATCTTGGCTCACTGCAACCTCTGCCTCTGGGGTTCAAGTGAGTCTTCCTCCTCAGCCTCCTGAGTAGCTGGGGTTACAGATGCGTGCCACCACGCCCAGCTAATTTTTGTATTTTTAGTAGAGACGGGATTTCACCATATTGGTCAGGCTGGTCTGGAACTCCTGACCTCAGGTTATCTACTTGACTCGGTGTCCCAAAGTGCTGGGATTACAGGCGTGAGCCACTGCGCCCGGTCGCATGTATCTTTATAACAGAATAATTTATATACCTTTGGGTATATACCTTTGGGTATATACCCAGTAATGGGACTGCTGGGTCAAATGGTAGTTCTGCCTCTAAGCCTTTGAGGAATCACCACACTGTCTTCCACATTGGTTGAACTAATTTACACTTGCACCAACGATGTAAAAGCATTCCTTTTTCTCCACAACCTCACCAGCATCTGTTGTTTTATAACTTTTTAATAACAGCTATTCTGAATGGATGTGAGATAGTATCTCATTGTGGTTTTGATTTGCATTTCTCTAATGGTCAGTGATGTTGAGCTTTTTTCATGTTTGTTGGCTGCACTAATGTCTTCTTTTGAGAAGTGTCTGTTCATGTCCTTTGTCTACTTTTTAATGGGGTTGTTTATTTCTTGTAAATTTGTTTAAGTTCCTCATAGATTCTGGATATTAGATCTTGTCAGATGGATAGATTACAAAAATTTTACCCCATTCTATGAGTTGTCTGATTATAGTTTCTTTTGATGTGCAGGAGCTCTTTAGGTGTATTAGATCCTATTTGTCAGTTTTTGCTGTTCTTGCAATTGCTTTTGGTGTTTTTGTCATGAAATATTTGCCCATGCCTATGTCCTGAATGGTATTGCCTAGATTTTCTTCTACGGTTTTTATAGTTTTGGGTTTTTCATTTAAGTCTTTAATCCATCTTGAGTTAATTTTTGTATATGGTGTAAGGAATGGGTCCAGCTTAAATTTTCTGTATATGGGCTAGCCAGTTCTCCCAGTACCATTTTTTAAATGGGGAATCCTTTCCCCATTGCTTTTGTCAGGCTTGTTGAAGATTAGATGGTTGTAGGTGTGCCATCTTATTTCTGAGTTCTCTATTCTGTTCCGCTAGTCTACGTTTCTGTTCTTGTACCAGTACTGTGCTGTTTTGGTTACTGTAGCCTTGTAGTATAGCTTGAAGTTGGGTAGCTTGATGCCTCCAGCTTTGTACTTTTTGCTTAGGATTGTCTTGGCTATTCAGGCTCTTTTTTCGTTCACATATGAATTTTAAAATAGTTTTTTCTAATTATGTGAAGAATGTCAATGGTAGTTTAATGGGAATAGCATTGAATATATAAATTACATTGGGCAATGTGGCTATTTTCATGATATTGATTGTTCCTATCTATGAGCATGGAATGTTCTTCCATTCGTTTTGTGCTCTCTGATTTCTCTGAGCAGTGGTTTGTAGCTGTATTTCTAGGTATTTTATTCTTTTTGTAGTGATTTTGAATGGGAGTTCATTCATGATTTGGCTCTCTGCTTGCCTTTTGTTGGTGTGTAAGAATGCTAGTGACTTTTGCACATTGATTCTGTATCCTGAGACTTTGCTGAAGTTGCTTATCAGCTTAAGAAGCTTCTGGGCTGAGACAATGGGGTTTTCTAGATATAGGATCATGTCATCTGCAAACAAAGGTAATTCGACTTCCTCTCTTCCTATTTGAATTCTCTTTACTTTCTTTCTCTTGCCTGATTTCCCTGACCAGAACTTCCAGTACTGTGTTGAATAGGAGTGATGAGAGAGTGCATCCGTGTCTTGTGCTGGTTTTCAAGGTGAATGCATCCTGCTTTTGCCCATTCAGTATGATATTGGTTGTGAGTTTATCATATATGGCTCTTATTATTTTGAGGTATGTTCCTTCAATATCTAATTTATTGAGAGTTTATAACATGAAGGGATGTTGAATTTTATCAAAGTCTTCTTCAAATCTATTGAGATAATCATGTGGTTTTAGTCTTTAGTTCTGTTTATTTCACAAATCACATTTATTGATTTGCATATGTTGAACCAACCTTGCCTCCCAGGGATGAAGCCAACTTGATCATGGTGGAGAAGCTTTTTAATGTGCTACTGGATTTGGTTGGCCTGCATTTTATTGAAGATTTTTGTATCCATGTTCATCAAAGTTATTGGCCTGAAGTGTTCTTTATTTATCATATCTCTGCCAAGATTTGGTATCAGGATGATGCTGGCCTTAGAATGAGTTAGGGAGGAGTCCCTCCTTTTCAACTTTTTTGGAATAGTTTCAGTAGAAATGGTACTAGCTATTGTTTTCTCATCTGGTAGAATTCAGCTGTGAATCTGTCTGATCCTGAGGTTTTTTGTTTTGTTTTGTTTTTTTTGGCTGGTAGGCTATTTATTACTGCCTCAATTTCAGAATTTGTTTTTGGTCTATTCAGGGATTCAATTTCTCCCTGCTTCAGCCTTGGGAGGGTGTATGTTCCCAGGAATTTATTCATTTCCTCTAGAATTTCTAGTTTATGTGCATAGAGGTGTTTGTAGTATTCTCTGATAGTTGTTTGTATTTCTGTGGGATCAGTGGTGATATCCTCCTAATCATTTCTGATTGTGCTTATTTGATTCTTCTCTTTTTTCTTCTTTATTAGTCTAGCTATCAGTCTATTTTATTAATTAAAACAAAAGCAGTTCCTGGACTTATTGATTTTTTGAAGTTGTTTTGTGTGTGTGTGTGTGTGTGTGTGTGTGTGTGTGTCTATCTCCTTCAGTTCAGCTCTGATCTTGGTTATTACTTGTCTTCTGCTAGCTTTAGGATTTGTTTTCTTTTGGTTCTCTACTTCTTTTCTCTGTGGTTTTAGGTTGTTAACTTGAGATCTTTCTAGCTTTTTGATGTGGGCATTTAGTGCTATGAATTTCCCTCTTAACACTGCTTTAGCTGCGTTCCAGAGATTCCGGTACATTATCTCTTTGTTCTCATTAGTTTCAAAGAACTTCTTGATTTCTGCCTTAATTTCGTTATTTACCCAAGAGTCACTCAGGATCACGTTGTTCATTATCCATGTAGGTGTGTGGTTTTGAGTGAATTTCTTAATCTTGAGTTCTAATTTGATTGTGCTGTGGTCTGAGAGACTTTGTTCTGATTTCAGTTCTTTTGCATTTGCTGAGGTGTGTTTTACTTCTAATTATGCAATCAATTTTAGAGTAAGTGCTGTGTGATGATGAGAAGAATGTATGTTCTGTTGTTTTTGGGTAGAGAGTCCTGTAGATATCTATCAGGTTCACTTGATCCAGAGTTGAGTTCAGGTCCTGAATATCTCTGTTAATTTTATGTCTCAGTGGTCTGTCTAATATTGTCAGGGAGTGTTAAAGTCTCCCACTATTGTTGTGTAGGAGTTTAAGTCTCTTTGTAGGTCTCTACGAACTTGTTTTATGAATCTGGGTGCTCTTGTATTGGGTGCATATATATTTAGGATAAAGAACTTGTTTTATGAATCTGGGTGCTCTTGTATTGGGTGCATATATATTTAGGATAGCTAGCTCTTCTTGTTGAATTGAACCCTTTTCTATTATGTAATACCCTTCTTTTTCTTTTTTAATCTTTGTTGTTTTAGAGTCTGTTTTGTCAGAAACTAGGATTCTAACCCCTACTTTTTTTCTGTTTTCATTTGCTTGATAGATTTTCCTTCTTCCTTTTATTTTGAGCCTATATGTGTCTTTGCACATGAGATGGGTCTCTTTAAGACAGCACACCGATGGGTCTTGGCTCTTTATCCAGTTTGCCATTCTGTGTCTTGTAATTGGGGCATTTAGCCTAATTACATTTAAAGTTAGTGTTGTTATGTGTGGATTTGATCCTGTCATCACGATGCTAGCTGGTTATTTTGCAGACTTGTTTATGTGGTTGCTTCATAGTGTCACTGGTCTGTGTATTTCAGTGTGTTTTTGTAGTGGCTAGTAACAGCTTTTCTTTTCCGTATTTAGTGCTTCCTTCAGGAGCTCTTGCAAGGCAGGCCTGGTGGTGACAAATTCCCTCAGCATTTGCTTGTCTGAAAAAGGATTTTATTTCTCCTTCACTTATGAAGCTTACTTTGGCTTGATACGAAATTCTGTGTTGAAAATTTTTTTCTTCTAGAATGCTGAATATTGTCCCCCAATCTCATTTGGCTTGTAGGTTTCTGCTGAGAGGTCTGCTGTTAGTCTGATGGGCTTTCCTTTTTAGGTGACCTGGCTTTTTTTCTTTCATTTTGACCGTGGATAATCAATGATTATGTGTCTTGGGGTTGATCTTCTCATGGAGTATCTTACTGGGGTTCTCTGAATTTCCTGAATTTGAATGTTGGCCTGTCTTGCTAAGTTGGGAAAGTTCTCCTGGATGATATCCTGAAGAATTTTCCAACTTGGTTCCATTCTCCCTGTCTCTTTCAGTTACCCCAATCAGTCATAGGTTCAATCTCTTTACATAATCCCATATTTCTTGAAGGTTTTGTTCATTCCTTTTCATTGTTTTTTTTTTCTATCCTTGTCTGCCTGTCTTATTTCAGAAAGATAGTCTTCAAGCTTGTTGATTCTTTTCTCTGCTTGGTCTATTCTGCTATTGATGCTTATGATTGCATTGCGAAGTTCTCATAGTCTGTTTTTCAGCTCCATCAGGTCAGTTATGTTCCTCTCTAAACTGGCTGTTCTGCCTGTCTGCTCCTGTATTGTTTTATCATGATAGTTAGCTTCTTTGCTTTGGGTTACAACATGCTCCTTTAGCTTAGGAAAGTTCATTATTACACACCTGAAGCTCACTTCTGTCAATTCAGCCATCTCAGTCTTGGCCCAGTTCTGTGCCCTTGCTGGAGAGGTGCTGCAGTCATTTGGAGGAGAAGAGGCATTCTGGCTTTTTGAGTTTTCAGTGTTTTTGCAGTGATTCTTTTTCATCTTTGTGGGCTTATTTACCTTCAGTCTTTGAGGTTGCTGATCTTTGAATGTGGCTTTTGTGGAGTCTTTGTTGTTGTTGTTTACATTTTCCTTTTAACAGTCAGCCCAGTCTTCCATAGGGCTACTGCAGTTTTTTAAGGGACCACTCCAGACCCTAGTTTCCTCAGTTTTTCCTGTACCTGGAGGTATCACCAGTGAAGCCTGCAAAACAGCAAAGATGGGAGCCTGCTTCTTCCTCTGGAAGCTTCGTCCCAGCAGGGTACTGACCTGTTGCTGGCCTGAACATGCCTGTAGGAGGTGTCTGGAGACCCCTGTTGGGAGGTCTCACCCAGTCAAGAGGGGTAGAATCAGGGACCCACTTAAAGAAGCAGTCTGGCTGCTTTTTGGTAAAGCAGGTTTACTGCTTTGTTGGGGGACCCTTCCTTGTTTGAACCATTTGAACTCTCCAAAGCCAGCAGGCTGGAATGGCTGAGTTGACCGAACCACAGAGATGGCAGCTGCTCCTCTGTCCAGGAGCTCCATCCCAGTGAGAGATCACAGCTCTGTGTGTATAATCCTGGCTGAAGTGGCCGGAGCCCCTGCAGGGAGGTCCTGCCCAGTGAGGAGGAATGGATCACGATCTGGATCGTGCTTAAAGAAGCAGTCTGGGCCGGGTGCAGTGGCTCACGCCTTTAATCCCAGCACTGTGGGAGGCTGAGGTGGGCAGATCATGAGGTCAAGAGATCGAGACCATCCTGGTCAATGTGACAAAACCCCATCTGTACTAAAAAATACAAAAATTAGCTGGACATGGTGGTGCGTGCCTGCAGTCCCAGCTACTTGGGAGACTGAGGCAGGAGAATCGCTTGAACCTGGGAGGCAGAGGTTGCAGTGAGCCGAGATTGTGCCACTGGCCACAATCTGGCAAAGCAGCTGTGCTGAATTGGTGGGGGACCCTTCCTCATCCAGACTGTTTGTACTCTTCAAAGCTGGATGGCTGGAATGGCTGAGTTGACTGAACCACAGAGATGGTGGCCAACCCTCCCTCTGGGAACTCCATCCCATCTCAGGCAGACTCTAGCCTGTTGCCATTGGCTGGTAGGAATTCCAAGCCAATGGGTGCTATCTTTTGAGGTACTTTGGAAATGGGGCCTGCACAATGATGCTGCTTTGCTCCCTGGATTCAGCCCCATCCTAAGGGTATGTATGGATGGACCTTCCACCTTGCCAGGGATCCCAGGGACAGAGTATATAAAATTCCTGGGTCTTTGTGTGTGCCTGAGTGGCTGCACTGTGGAGACTCCACACAGCTCTGTGTATCAGACCCAAGGCCCTGGTGGTGTGAGCTCACAAGGGGATCTCCTGACCCATGGGTTTCAAAGATCCATGGGAGAAGCATGGTTTCCCAGATAGGGTTGCACAGTCACTCACCACATCCCTTGGCTGTGGGTAGGAGGTCCTTTGGCTCTGTGTTGCTCCTGGGTAGGCCGTCACCCCACCCTGCTTTTCTTTGTTCTCTGTGGATTGAGTTGTTTGCCCAATCAGTCTGAATGCAAGAACCTGTATATTTCAGTAGAAGGTGCTGATTTCACTCATCCCTTTCATTCCTCTCCATGAGTGCCATGGACCACAGCTGCTTCTAACTGGTCATCTTGGTCCCACTGTTCTCTTTATTGGGGTCTGAAATTTTGACCACAGAAATAAGCCTACAGATTCAAGAAGCTAAGCATACTCTAAATAGGATAAATTCACAGAAATCCACACTAACAGAAATCATAATTAAACTTCTGAAAATTAAAGACAAGAAAAATATTTTGAAAGCAGCCAGAGAGAGATGCTGCATTATTCATAGGGGAACACTGATTGCCAAGACTATGGATTTCTCATCTGAAATTATGGAGATCAGAAGTAAATGGCACAACAGTTTTCAAGTGCTGAATGTAAAGAACTGTTACAGAGAGTTCTGTATCTGGAGAAAATATATATTATGAATGAAGGGGAAATAAAAATGTTCTGATACAAAGGAAAATTAAAAATTATGTGCAAGCAACAGTCCTACTACAGATTGCTAAAGAAAATTCTGTATTCAGAAAGCTAATAACAGAAGGCTTTCAACTTCAGAAAGGAAAGAAAATTGGAATGTGTAAAAGTAGGAGTAACTATAATAGATTATCCAACTCCTCATAAGTTTTCTTATTTATTTATTTATTTATTTATTTTGAGACGGAGTCTTGCTCTGTTGCCCACGCTGGATTGCAGTGGTGCCAACTCGGCTCACTTCAATCTCCAGCTCCCAAGTTCAAGGAATTCCCCTGCCTCAGCCTCCTGAGTAGCTGGGATTACAAGGCACCTGCCACCACACCCAGCTATTTTTTTTTTTTGTATTTTTAGTAGAGATGCAGTTTCACCATGTTGGTTAGACTGGTCTCAAACTCCTGACCTCAGGTGATTCACCCACCTCAGCCTCCCAAAGTACTGGGATTACAGGCATGAGCCACCATGTCTGGCCCTCATAAGTTTTTAAAATTATATTTGAAGGTTGAGGCAAAAATTATAACACCAGTTGATGTGGTGCTTAACATAGGTAGAGGACATACTTGAAACAAATATTTTTTTAAGTGGGGAGGATAAAAGGACATAAATGGAGTTCATGTTTCAATATTTTACTAAAAATGTATAATACTAAAACCAGTACATTGTTATATTTACATATTTATATTATAATACCTAGAGCAACTGTAAGAAAACTATATGGGCAAATTTATTCAAAAACACTATATGTTTGTCAGGATATAATCTTTAAAATATTTAAAACCCATAGGGAGATAAGAGAAAAAGAAGAATGAGAAACAGAAAACAAAGAGAAAACAATATAATCGCTGACATAAGACACAGATAACAATAATTAACTTAAATGTAAATGGTTTGTCTACACCAATTAAAAGAAAGATTGGCAGAGTGACTGAAAAAAAAACCCACAAAATCCACTTATTTGTAGTTTCTGGTCCAACATGTAAAGAATTTAGAAGTCATCATCCATTCATCACAAGCAAAAAGCCGAATAAACAGAAAATCAACAATTCTTAGATCCATTAGAAAATTGTGATCACAAGGAAAACCAATGCTCTGAAAACTGGAAAAATGGAAATATAGCGAATCACAATTTACCAGAGCAGAAGCTACAGTTGGAACCCGGTAGAAACATATAAATTGTAATTGGTGAATTGCTTGAAACTGAGTATGGGCTAAGCTTGAGAGATAAAACATTCCTAGGCACCTAGCCTTTGGGAAGTTTCCTACTTTTGTGATTGACTTATACCTCCAGAAGCCCCAGTAGGTTGTCAGGGTGAAGATCAGAGAAAATCCACTGTTGCTTTTAGCAGGGCAAGGGGAAAGTAAGTATTTCAAAATATGCCAAGAGTATTCTGTTCTCATTAACGAACAGCTGTCCTAAAGACAAACTACTTTTAATTTTTTTAATTTTTAAGTTTTATGGGTACATACTAGGTGTATATATTTCTGAAGTATGTTAGATATTTTGATAAAGGCTCACAATGCATAATAACCACATCAGGGTAAATAGGTATCCATCACCTCAAGCATTCATCATTTGTTTATGTTACAAGCAATCCAATTATACTCTTTTATTTTAAAATGTACAATAAATTATTGTTGACTGTAATCACCCTGTTGTGCTGCCCATATACTAGACCTTATTCATTCTATCTATATATATTTTTGTACCTGTTATTAATCCTCATTTCCCCACACCACCTACAACACTTCCCAGCCTCTGGTAATGATCATTTTACTATCTCCATGAGTTCAATTGTTTTCATTTTTTGCTCAAACAAATTTTTGAGAACTTGTGAAGTTTGTCTTCCTGTGCCTGCCTTATTTCACTTAACATAATGTGGTCCAGTTCCGTTCATGTTTTTTTTTTAAATTTTATTATTATTATACTTTAAGTTTTAGGGTACATGTGCACAATGTGCAGGTTAGTTACATATGTATACATGTGCCATGCTGGTGTGCTGCAACCATTAACTCGTCATTTAGCATTAGGTATCTCTCCTAATGCTATCCCTCCCCCCACCCCCGCCCCATAACAGTCCCCAGAGTGTGATGTTCCCCTTCCTGTGTCCATGTGTTCTCATTGTTCAATTCCCACCTATGAGTGAAAATATGCGGTGTTTGGTTTTTTGTTCTTGTGATAGTTTACTGAGAATGATGATTTCCAATTTCATCCATGTCCCTACAAAGGACATGAACTCATCATTTTTTATGTCTGCATAGTATTCCATAGTGTATATGTGCCACATTTTCTTAATCCAGTCTATCATTGTTGGACATTTGGGTTGGGTACAAGTCTTTGCTATTGTGAATAGTGCTGCAATAAACATACGTGTGCATGTGTCTTTATAGCAGCATGATTTATAATCCTTTGGGTATATACCCAGTAATGGGATGGCTGGGTCAAATGGAATTTCTAGTTCTAGATCCCTGAGGAATCACCACACTGTCTTCCACAATGGTTGAACTAGTTTACACTCCCACCAACAGTGTAAAAATGTTCATATTTCTCCACATCCTCTCCAGCACCTGTTGTTTCCTGACTTTTTAATGATTGCCATTCTAACTGGTGTGAGATGGTATCTCATTGTGGTTTTGATTTGCATTTCTCTGATGGCCAGTGATGGTGAGCATTTTTTCATGTGTCTTTTGGTTGCATAAATGTCTTCTTTTGAGAAGTGTCTGTTCATGTCCTTTGCCCACTTTTTGATGGGGTTATTTGTTTTTTTCTTGTAAATTTGTTTGAGTTCATTGTAGATTCTGGATATTAGCCCTTTGTCAGATGAGTAGGTTGCGAAAATTTTCTCCCATTTTGTAGGTTGCCTGTTCACTCTGATGGTAGTTTCTTTTGCTGTGCAGAAGCTCTTTAGTTTAATTAGATCCCATTTGTCAATTTTGGCTTTTGTTGCTATTGCTTTTGGTGTTTTAGACATGAAGTCCTTTCCCATGCCTATGTCCTGAATGGTAATGCCTAGGTTTTCTTCTAGGGTTTTTATGGTTTTAGGTCTAATGTTTAAGTCTTTAATCCATCTTGAATCAATTTTTGTATAAGGTGTAAGGAAGGGATCCAGTTTCAGCTTTCTCCATATGGCTAGCCAGTTTTCCCAGCACCATTTATTAAATAGGGAATCCTTTCCCCATTGCTTGTTTTTCTCAGGTTTGTCAAAGATCAGATAGTTGTAGATATGCAGCATTATTTCTGAGGGCTCTGTTCTGTTCCATTGATCTATATCTCTGTTTTGGTACCAGTACCATGCTGTTTTGGTTACTGTAGCCTTGTAGTATAGTTTGAAGTCAGGTAGCGTGATACCTCCAGCTTTGTTCTTTTGGCTTAGGATTGACTTGGCGATGCGGGCTCTTTTTTGGTTCCATATGAACTTTAGTTTTTTCCAATTCTGTGAAGAAAGTCATTGGTAGCTTGATGGGGATGGCATTGAATCTATAAATTACCTTGGGCAGTATGGCCATTTTCACGATATTGATTCTTCCTACCCATGAGCATGGAATGTTCTTCCATTTATTTGTATCCTCTTTTATTTCTTTGAGCAGTGGTTTGTAGTTCTCCTTGAAGAGGTCCTTCACGTCCCTTGTAAGTTGGATTCCTAGGTATTTTATTCTCTTTAAAGCAATTGTGAATGGGAGTTCACTCATGATTTGGCTCTCTGTTTGTCTGTTATTGGTGTATAAGAATGCTTGTGATTTTTGTACATTGATTTTGTATCCTGAGACTTTGCTGAAGTTGCTTATCAGCTTAAGGAGATTTTGGGCTGAGACAATGGGGTTTTCTAGATCTACAATCATGTCATCTGCAAACAGGGACAATTTGACTTCCTCTTTTCCTAATCGAATACCCTTTATTTCCTTCTCCTGCCTGATTGTCCTGGCCAGAACTTCCAACACTATGTTGAATAGGAGTGGTGAGAGAGGGCATCCCTGTCTTGTGCCAGTTTTCAAAGAGAATGCTTCCAGTTTTTGCCCATTCAGTTTGATATTGGCTGTGGGTTTGTCATAGATAGCTCTTATTATTTTGAGATACGTCCCGTCAATAGCTAATTTATTGAGAGTTTTTAGCATGAAGTGTTGTTGAATTTTGTCAAAGGTCTTTTCTGCATCTATCGAGATAATCATGTGGTTTTTGTCTTTGGTTCTGTTTATATGCTGAATTACATTTATTGATTTGCGTATATTGAACCAGCCTTGCATCCCAGGGATGAAGCCCACTTGATCATGGTGGATAAGCTTTTTGATGTTCTGCTGGATTCGGTTTGCTAGTATTTTATTGAGGATTTTTGCATCAATTTTCATCAAGGATATTGGTCTAAAATTCTCTTTTTTGGTTGTGTCTCTGCCTGGCTTTGGTATCAGGATGATGCTGGCCTCATAAAATGAGTTAGGGAGGAGTCCCTCTTTTTCTATTGATTGGAATAGTTTCAGAAGGAATGGTACCAGTTCCTCCTTGTACCTCTGGTAGAATTTGGCTGTGAATCCATCTGGTCCTGGACTCTTTTTGGTTGGTAAGCTATTGATTATTGCCACAATTTCAGAGCCTGTTATTGGTCTATTCAGAGATTCAACTTCATCCTGGTTTAGTCTTGGGAGGGTGTATGTGTCAAGGAATTTATCCATTTCTTCTAGATTTTCTAGTTTATTTGCGTAGAGGTGTTTGTAGTATTCTCTGATGGTAGTTTGTATTTCTGTGGGATCAGTGGTGATATCCCCTTTATCATTTTTTATTCCGTCTATTTGATTCTTCTCTCTTTTCTTCTTTATTACTCTTGCTAGCAGTCTATCAATTTTGTTGATCCTTTCAGAAAACCAGCTCCTGGATTCATTGATTTTTTGAAGGGTTTTTTGTGTCCTATTTCCTTCAGTTCTGCTCTGATTTTAGTTATTTCTTGCCTTCTGCTAGCTTTTGAATGTGTTTGCTCTTGCATTTCTAGTTCTTTTAATTGTGATGTTAGGGTGTCAATTTTGGATCTTTCCTGCTTTCTCTTGTGTGCATTTAGTGCTATATATTTCCCTTTACACACTGCTTTGAATGTGTCCCAGAGATTCTGGTATGTTGTGTCTTTGTTCTCATTGGTTTCAAAGAACATCTTTATTTCTGCCTTCATTTCGTTATGTACCCAGTAGTCATTCAGGAGCAGGTTGTTCAGTTTCCGTGTAGTTGAGCGGTTTTGAGTGAGTTTCTTAATCCTGAGTTCTAGTTTGATTGCACTGTGGTCTGAAAAACAGTTTGTTATAATTTCTGTTCTTTTACATTTGCTGAGAAGAGCTTTACTTCCAACCATGTGGTCAATTGTGGAATAGGTGTGGTGTGGTGCTGAAAAAAATGTATATTCTGTTGATTTGGGGTGGAGAGTTCTGTAGGTGTCTATTAGGTCCGCTTGGTGCAGAGCTGAGTTCAATTCCTGGGTATCCTTGTTAACTTTCTGTCTCGTTGATCTGTCTAATGTTGATAGTGGGATGTTAAAGTCTCCCATTATTATTGTGTGGGAGTCTAAGTCTCTTTGTAGGTCACTCAGGACTTGCTTTATGAATCTGGGTGCTCCTGTATTGGGTGCATATATATTTAGGATAGTTAGCTCTTCTTGTTGAATTGATCCCTTTACCATTATGTAATGGCCTTCTTTGTCTCTTTTGATCTTTGTTGGTTTAAAGTCTGTTTTATCAGAGACTAGGATTGCAACCCCTGCCTTTTTTGTTTTCCGTTTGCTGGGTAGATCTTCCTCCATCCTTTTATTTTGAGCCTATGTGTGTCTCTGCACATGAGATGGGTTTCCTGAATACAGCGCACTGATGGGTCTTGACTCTTTATCCAATTTGCCAGTCTGTGTCTTTTAATTGGAGCATTTAGTCCATTTACATTTAAAGTTAATATTGTTATGTGTGAATTTTATCCTGTCATTATGATGTTAGCTGGTTATTTTGCTCGTTAGTTGATGAAGTTTCTTCCTGGCCTCGATGATCTTTACAATTTGGCATGTTTTTGCAGTGGCTGGTACCGGTTGTTCCTTTCCATGTTTAGTGCTTCCTTCAGGAGCTCTTTTGGGGCAGGCCTGGTGGTGGCAAAATCTCTCAGCATTTGCTTGTCTGTAAAGTATTTTATTTCTCCTTCACTTATGAAGCTTAGTTTGGCTGGATATGAAATTCTGGGTGGAAAATTCTTTTCTTTAAGAATGTTGAATATTGGCCCCCACTCTCTTCTGGCTTGTAGAGTTCCTGCTGAGAGATCCACTGTTAGTCTGATGGGCTTCCCTTTGTGGGTAACCCGACCTTTCTCTCTGGCTGCCCTTAACATTTTTTCCTTCATTTCAACTTTGGTGAATCTGACAACTATGTGTCTTGGAGTTGCTCTTCTCGAGGAGTATCTTTGTGGCATTGTCTGTATTTCCTGAATCTGAATGTTGGCCTGCCTTGTTAGATTGGGGAAGTTCTCCTGAATAATATCCTGCAGAGTGTTTTCCAACTTGGTTCCATTCTCCCCGTCACTTTCAGGTACACCAATCAGACGTAGATTTGGTCTTTTCACATAGTCCCATATTTCTTGGAGGCTTTGTTCGTTTCTTTTTATTCTTTTTTCTCTAAACTTCCCTTCTCGCTTCATTTCATTCATTTGATCTTCAATCACTGATACCCTTTCTTCCAGTTGATGGCATCGGCTCCTGAGGCTTCTGCATTCTTCACGTAGTTCTCAAGCCTTGGCTTTCAGCTCCATCAACTCCTTTAAGCACTTCTCTGCATTGGTTATTCTAGTTACACATTTGTCTAAATTTTTTTCAAAGTTTTTAACTTCTTTGCCTTTGGTTTGAATTTCCTCCTGTAGCTCGGAGTAGTTTGATCGTCTGAAGCCTTCTTCTCTCAACTCGTCAAAGTCATTCTCCATCCAGCTTTGTTCAGTTGCTGGTGAGGAACTGCGTTCCTTTTGAGGAGGAGAGGTGCTCTGCTTTTTAGAGTTTCCAGTTTTTCTGCTCTGTTTTTTCTCCATCTTTGTGGTTTTATCTACTTTTGGTCTTTGATGCTGGTGATGTACAGATGGGTTTTTGGTGTGGATGTCCTTTCTGTTTGTTAGTTTTCCTTCTAACAGACAGGACCCTCAGCTGCAGGTCTGTTGGAGTTTGCTAGAGGTCCACTCCAGACCCCGTTTGCCTGGGTATCAGCAGCGGTGACTGCAGAACAGCATTTTTTCATGAACCGCGAATGCTGCTGTCTGATCATTCCTCTGGAAGTTTTGTCTCAGAGGAGTACCCGGCCATGTGAGGTGTCAGTCTACCCCTACTGGGGGGTGCCTCCCAGTTAGGCTGCTCGGGGGTGAGGGGTCAGGGACCCACTTGAGGAGGCAGTCTGCCCGTTCTCAGATCTCCAGCTGCGTGCTGGGAGAACCACTGCGAAAGCAGTGCCTCACAGGTAGGCTACTTGGGGGTCAGGGACCCACTTGAGGAGGCAGTCTGTCCGTTCTCAGATCTCGAGCTGCGTGCTGGGAGAACCACTACTCTCTTCAAAGCTGTCAGACAGGGACATTTAAGTCTGCAGAGGTTACTGCTGTCTTTTTGTTTGTCTGTGCCCTGCCCCCAGAGGTAGAGCCTACAGAGGCAGGCAGGCCTCTGTGAGCTGTGGTGGGCTCCACCCATTTCGAGGTTCCCGGCTGCTTTGTTTACCTAAGCAAGCCTGAGCAATGGTGGGCGCCCCTCCCCCAGCCTCGCTGCTGCCTTGCAGTTTGATCTCAGACTGCTGTGCTAGCAATCAGCGAGACTCCATGGGCGTAGAACCCTCCGAGCCAGGTGCAGGATATAATCTCCTGGTGCACCGTTTTTTAAGCCTGTCGGAAAAGTGCAGTATTAGGGTGGGAGTGACCCGATTTTCCAGGTGCCGTCTGTCACCCCTTTCTTTGACTGGGAAAGGGAACTCCCTGACCCCTTGCGCTTCCCGAGTGAGGCAATGCCTCGCCCTCCTTCCGCTCGCACACGGTGCGCTGCACCCACTGTCCTGCACCCACTGTCTGGCACTCCCTAGTGAGATGAACCTGGTACCTCAGATGGAAATGCAGAAATCACCCATCTTCTGCATCGCTCACGCTGGGAGCTGTAGATTGGAGCCATTCCTATTCGGGCGTCTTGGCTCCTCCCCCCGTCCATGTTTTTATAAATGACAGGATCTCATTCTTTTTTATGGCTGAATTGTATTCCATTGTGTATATGTACCACATTTTGTTTATTCATTTGTCTGTTTATGGACACTTAGGTTACTTCTAAATTTTGCCTATTGTGAATAGGGCTGCAATATACATAAGACGGCAGAGGTTGTTTCAATATATGGATTTCCTTTTTTTTGGGTATATACCTGGTAGTGGGATTATTGGATCATGTGGTAGCTCTATTTTTAGTTTTTGAGGAAACTCTATACTGTTTTCCATAGTGTCCATACTAATTTACATTCTCACCAATAGTGTGTATTGGTTGCCTTTTCTGATCATCCTCACTAGCATTTATTATTGCCTATGTTTTGGATAGTGTATTAGTTCATTTACACACTGCTGATAAAGACATACCCGAGACTGGGAAGAAAAAGAAGTTTAATTGGACTTACAGTTCCACTTAGCTCAGGAGTCCTCAGAATCATGGTGGGAGGTGAAAGACACATCTTACATCGTGGCAGCAAGAGAAAATAAGGAAGATGCAAAAGCGGAAACCCCTGATAAAACCATCAGAACTTGTGAGACTTGTTCACAACCACAAGAACAGTATGGGGGAAATCACCCCCATGATTCAAATTATTTCCCACCGGGTCCCTCCCATAACGTATGGGAATTATGGGAGTACAATTCAAGATGAGATTTGGGTGGGGACACAGAATCAAACCATATCAGATAAAAACCATTTTTACTAGGGTGAGATGACAACTCATTGTACATTTGATTTGCCTTTCTTTAATGATCAATAATTTTGCACACCTTTTCATATCCCTTTTTTCCATTTGTGTGTCTTCTTTTGAGAAGTGTATATTCAGATCTTTTGCTCATTTTTAGAATCATATTATTAGTTGAGTTTTTGATCTCCTAATGTATTCTGGTTATTAATCCCTTGTCAGATGGATACTTTCCAAACATTTTCTCCCATTCTCTGGGTTGTCTCTTCATTTTGTTTATTATTTCGTTTGCTGTGCAGAAGCTTTTTAACATGCTGTGATCCAATTTGTCCATTTTTGCTTTGACTACTTGGGCTTGTAGGGTATTACTCAAAAAATGTTTGCCTATCCAAACGTCGTAGAGAGTTTACCCAAAGTTTTCTTTGAGTTGTTTCATAATTTGGAGTCTTAGAATTAAGTCTTCAATCCATTTTGATTTGAATTTTGTACATGGCAAGAGATAGGGGTCTAGTTTCATTCTTCTGCATATGGATATCTATTTATTAAAGAGACTGTCTTTTCCCCAGTGTATGTCTTTGGCACTTTTGTCAAAAACGAGTTCACTGAAGATGTCTGAATTTAATTCTGGGTTGTCTATTTTGTTCCACTGGTCCATGTGTCTGTTTTTATGCCAGTACCGTGCTGTTTTGCTTACTATAGCTCTGTAGTATAATTTGAAGTTAGGTAATGTGATTCCTCCAGTTCAGTTCTTTTTGCTCTGGGTAGCTTTGGCTATTCAGTATCTTTTCTGGTTACTTATAAATTTTAGGATTTTTTCTATTTCTGTGAAGAATGTCATTGTTACTTTGATAGGGATTGCATTGACTCTACAGATTGCTTTGGGTAGTATAGACATTTTAACAATAGATTCTTTGAATACAGGAACATGGAATTTTTTTTATTTTTTGTGTCCTCTTCAATTTTTTGCATCAATGTTTTATAGTTTTAATTGTAGAAAATCTTTCACTGTTTTGCTTAATTCCTAGGTATTTAATTTTATCTGTAGTGTTTGTACCTGGAATTACATTCTTGATTTCTATTTAAGGTTGTTTGCTGTTGGCATATAGAAATGCTTCTGATTTTTGTAAGTTGATTTTGTATCCTGAAACTTTACTGAATTTGTTCATCAGTTCTAATCGTGTGTGTGTGTGTGTGTGTGTGTGTGTGTGTGTGTGTATGTGTGTGTGTGTAGACTTAGGTTTTTCCAAATATAAGATCATATCATCTGCAAACAAGGATAATTTGACTTCTTCCTTTCCAATTTGGATGCTGTTTCTTTTTTTCTCTTGTCTGATTGCTCTAGCTAGGGCTTCCAGTACTATGTGGAAAAACAGCCATAAAGTGAGTACTCTTGTCCTGTTCCAGATCTTGAAGGAAAAGCTTTCAATTTTTCAATATGATACTAGCTGTGGGTCTGTCATATATGGCTTTCTTCGTGTTAAGATATGTTTCTCCTACACCCAGTTTTCTGAGGGTTTTTTTTTTTCCATGAAGGGATACTGAATTTTATCAAAAGCTTTTTTCAGTATCATTTGAAATAACCAGAGGGGTTTTGCCCTTAATTCTGTTGATATGATGTTTCACATTGAGTGATTTGCATATGTAGAATCATTCTTTCATCCCAAGGGTAAATTCCACTTGGTCATGATAAATGATCTTTTTAATGTGTTTTTGAATTTGGTTTGCTAGTATTGTGTTGAGGATTTTTGTATCAATGTTCATCAGGGATGTTGGCCTGTAATTGTCTTTTTTTCATGTATCTTTGTTTGGTTTTAGTATCCATAAAACTGGCCTCATAGAATCACTTTGGAAATATTCCTTCCTTCTTTCTTTTTGTTAGGATTGTTTGCTTAGGATTAGCATTAATACTTTTTTAAATATTTGGTAGAATTCAGTGGTGAAGCCATTGGGTCTTGGGCTTTTCTTTACTGGGAGATGTTTTATCATGGCTTTGATCTCATCACTTATTGTTTTCCTTGGGTTTTTTATTTCTTCATGGTTCAATCTTGATAAATTTTATGTGTCTTGGAGTTTACCCATTTCTTCTAGGTTTTCCAATTTATTGGCATATGGTGGCTCATAGTAGTCACTAATGATCCTTTGAATTTCTGTGGTATTAGTTGTCCTGTCTCCTTTTTCTTTTTTTATTGTTTAAAAACTTTTATTTTAGGTTCAGGGCTATATGTGAAGGCTTGTTATATAGGTATATTCATTTCATGGAAGTTTGATGTGCAGATTGTTTTATCACCCAGGTACTAAGCCTAGTACCCAATATTTATTTTTTCTATTCTTCTCCCTCCTCCCACTCTCCACCCACTGGTAGGCCCCCAGTGGCTCTTTTTCCACTCGTTGTGTCCCTGTGTTCTCGTCATTTAGCTCCCACTTGTATGGGAGAACATGTAATATTTGGTTTTCTGTTTGTACATTAGTTCTCTAAGTATAATGGCTTCCAGCTTCATCCATGTTTCTGCAAAGGACATAATCTCATTCTTTTTTATGGCTGCATAGCATTTCATGGTATATATGTACCACATTTTTAAAATCCAGTCTTCCATTGATGGGCCTTTAGGTTGATCCCTTGTCTTTGCTATTGTGAATTGTGCTGCAGTGAACATCCCCATGCATGTGTCTTTGTGATGGAATGATTTATATTCCTTTGGGTATATACCCAGTAATGGGATTGTTGGGTTGAATGGTAGTTCTGTTTTGAGCTCTTTGATAAATTTTCACACTGCTTTCCACAATGGTTGAACTAATTTACACTTCCACCAACAGTTTATAAGTATTCTGTTTTCTCCACAACCTTGCCAGCATCTGTTAATTTTGACTTTTTAGTAATAGCCATTCTGACTGATGTGAATTGGTATTTCATTATGTTTCTGATTTGCATTTCTCTAATGATCAGTTATATTGAGCTTTTTCCATATGCTTGTTGGCTGCATCTGTGTCTTCTTTTGAAAAGTGTCTGTTCATATCATTTGTTCACTTTTTTATGTGGTTGTTTTTGTCTTGTAAATTTGTCTAAGTTCCTTATAGATGCTTGATATTAGACCTTTGTCAGATGTGTAGTGATACGGTTTGGCTCTCTGTCCCCACCCAAATCTCATGTTGAATTGTGATCCTGAGTGTTGGAGGTGGGGCCTGGTGAGAGGTGATTGGATTATGGTTCTAATGGTTTAACACCATCCCCCTAGGGCTGCAGGGTTTTTGTAGTTTCTCGTTTTACATTTAAGTCTTTAATCCATCTTGAGTTAATTTTTGTATGCAGTTAAAGATAGGGTTTCAGTTTAAATCTTCTGCATATGGCTACCACTCATCATGACACCATTTATTGAATAGGGAGTCTATCAGGGGAAATTCAGCCCCCGATATTTCAACATGGGTCCTTTTCTATTTTCCCTAAGTGTCGGCTGGTCTGAGAAATAAAGGGAAAGAGTACAAAGAGAGAAATTTTTAAAGCTGGTTGTCCAGGGGAGACATCAAATGTCGGCAGGTTCCGTGATGTCCCCCAAGCCGCAAAACCAGGAAGCTTTTATTAGTGATTTTCAAAAGGGGAAGGAGTGTACGAATAGGGTATGGGTCACAGAGATCACATGCTTCACAAGGTAATAAAATATCACAAGGCAAATGGAGGCAGGGCGAGATCACAGGACCGGGGTGAAATTAAAGTTGCTAATGAAGTTTCGGGCACGCATTGTCATTGATAACATCTTGTCAGGAGACAGGGTTTGAGAGCAGACAACCAGTCTGACCAACATTTATTAAGTGGGAATTTCCTCGTCCTAATAAGCCTGGGAGCGCTACGGGAGACTGGGGCTTATTTCATCCCTTACTCACAACCGTAAAAGACAGACGTTCCCAGAGCAGCCGTTTCAGAGGCCTACCCCTAGGAATGCACTCTCTTTCTCAGGGCTGTTCCTTGCTGAGAAAAAGAATTCAGCGATATTTCTCCTATTTGCTTTTGAAAGAAGAGAAATGTGGCTCTGTTCCACCCGGCCCACAGGCAGCCAGACTTTAAGGTTATCTCCCTGGTTCCCTGAATATCACTGTTATCCTGTTCTTTTTTCAAGGTGCCCAGATTTCATATTGTTTAAACAATTTGTGCAGTTAATGCAATCATCACAGGGTCCTGAGGTGACATTCATCCTCAGCTTACAAAGATGACGGGATTAAGAGATTAAAGACAGGCATAGGAAATCACAACAGTATTAATTGGGGAAGTGATAAATGTCCATTAAATCTTTACAATTTATATTCAGAGATTGTAGTAAAGACAGGTGTAAGAAATTATAAATGTATTAATTTGGGGAACTAATAAATGTCCATGAAATCTTCACAATTTATGTTCTTCTGCCATGGCTTCAGCTGGTCCCTCTGTTTGGGGCCCCTGACTTCCCGCAACAAGAGTCCTTTTCCCATTGCTCATTTTTGTTAGCCTTGTCAAAGATCAGATGGTTTTAGGTGTATGGCCTTATTTCTGGACTTTCTATTCTGTTCCATTGGTCTATGTGTCTGTTTTTGTACCAGTACCATGCTATTTTGATTACTGTAGTATAGTTTGAACTCAGGCATCATGATGCCTCCTGCTTTGTTCTTTTTGCTTAGGATTGTTCTGGGTATTCAGGCTCTTTTTTGGTTCCATAAGAGTTTTAAAATACTTTTTTCTAGATCTGTGAAGACTGTCATTGGTAGTCTGATAGGAATAGTATTGAATCTGTAAATAGCTTTCAGAAGTATGGCCATTTTAACAATATCGATTCTTTCTATCCCTGAGCATGGAATGTTTTTCCTTTTGTTTGTTTCATGTCTGATTTCTTTTGCAGTGTTTTGTAATTCTCCTTGTAGAGATTTTTCACCTCCCTGGTTAGCTGTATTCTAGGTATTTTATTCTTTTTATGGCAATTGTGAATGGGATTGCATTCCTGATTTGGTTCTCAGTTTGACTGTTGTTGTGTATAGGAATGCTAGTGATTTTTGTATACTGATTTTGTTTCCTGAAACCTTGCTGAAATTGTTCATAAGCTTAGAAAGCTTTTAGGCTGAGACTATGGGCTTTGCTAGATATAAAATGTCCTCTCCAAACAGGGATAATTTGACTTCCTCTGTTCCTATTTGGATGCCTTTTATTTCTTTCTCTTGATTGATTCCTCTGGTCAGGAAATCCAATATTATGTTGACTAGGAGTGGTGAGAGAGGGCATCTTTGTCTTGTGTTGGTTTTCAAGGGAAATGCTTCCAGATTTTACCCTTTCAGTATGATATTGGCTGTGGGTTTGTCATATATGGCTCTTATTATTTTGAGGTAAGTTCATTCAATACCTACTTTGTTGAGAGTTTTTAACATGAAGGGATGTTGAATTTTATCAAAGCCTTTTCTGTGTCTGTTGAGATAATCATGTAGTTTTTGTCTTTAGTTCTGTTTATCTCAGAAATCACATTTGTTGATTTGCATATGTTGAACCAATCTTGCATCCTGGGGATGAAGCCAACTTGATCATGGTGGATTAGCTTTTTGATTTGTTGCTGGGTTCAGTTTGTTAGTATTTTGTTGAGGATTTTTGCATTGATGTTTATCAAGGATATTGTCCTGAAGTTTTCTCTTTTTTTGTATCTCTGCCAGGTTTTGGTATCAGGATGATGCTGGCCTCATAGAATGAGTTAGTGGGGGAGTCTCTTCTCATTTTTTTTTTGGAATAGCTTCAGTAGAAATGGTACCAGCTCTTCTTTGTGTATCTGGTAGAATTTGGCTGTGAATTTTTCTGGTCTTGGACTTTTTTGGTTGGTAGGTTATTTATTATTGCCTCAATTACAGAATTTTTTATTGGTCTGTTCAGGGATTCAATTTCTTCCTGCTTCAGTCTTGGGAGGGTGTATGTGTCCAGGAATTTATCCATGTCTTTTAGATTTTCTAGTTTATGTGCATAGAAGTGTTCTTAATATTCTCTAGCTTGTGGTCTATCTATTTTGGTAAGTTTTTTTTTTTCAAAAAACCAGCTCCTGGCTTTGTTGCTCTTTTGAATGGCTTTTTATGTCTCGATCTCCTTCAGTTCGGCTCTGATTTTGGCTACTTTTTGTCTTCTGCTAGCTTTGGAGCTGGTTTGCTCTTGCTTCTCTGTTTTTTTTTTTTTTTTTTTTTTTTTTTGGTTGTGATGTTAGGTTGTTAATTTGAGATCTTTCTAAGTTTTTGATGTGGGAGTTTAGTGCTATAAATTTCCATCTTAACACTGCTTTTGCTGTGTCCAGAGATTCTTGTATGTTGTATCTTTGTTCTCACTAGTTTCAAATAACTTCTTGATTTCTGTCTTAATTTCACTTTCACCCAAAAGTCATTCAGGAGTAGGTTGTTTAATTTTTATGTAATTGTATGGCTTTGAGCAATTTTCTTCATCTTGAATTCTATTTTTATTGCAGTTTGGTCTGATAGAGTGGTTAGTATAATTTTAATTCTTTTGAATTTGCCCATGATTGTTTTACATCTAATTGTGTTTTTGATTTTAGATCATTTTTATGTGCACATGAGAAGAATGTATGTTATGTTGTTTTTGGATGGTGAGTTCTGTAGATGTTTATCAAATCCATTTGGTCCACTATTGAGTTCAGGTCCTGAATATATATTTTTTTCTGCCTTGATGATCTGTCTAAAACTGTCAGTGCGGTGTTGAATTCTCCCACTATTATTGCATGGGAGTCTAAGTCTCATGGAAGGTCTCTAAGAACTTGCTTTCTGAATCTGCATGCTCCTGTGTTGGGCACATATATGTTTAGGATAGTTAGTCTTCTCGTTCTATTAAACCCTTTACCTTTATGTAATGTCCTTAATTGCCTTTTTTTTATATTTGTTTGTTTAAAATTTGTGTTGTCCGAAATTAGGATAGCAACCCCTGTTTTATTGTTTTCTTTTTTTTTTTTTGTGGTGAAGGACATCTACACCAAAAACCCATCTGTACATCACCAGCATCAAAGACCAAAAGTAGATAAAACCACAAAGATGGAGAAAAAACAGAGCAGAAAAACTGGAAACTCTAAAAAGCAGAGCGCCTCTCCTCCTCCAAAGGAACGCAGTTCCTCACCAGCAACGGAACAAAGCTGGATGGAGAATGACTTCGACGAGTTGAGAGAAGAAGGCTTCAGACGATCAAACTACTCCGAGCTACAGGAGGAAATTCAAACCAAAGGCAAAGAAGTTGAAAACTTTGAAAAAAATTTAGAAGAATGTATAACTAGAATAACCAATACAGAGAAGTGCTTAAAGGAGCTGATGGAGCTGAAAGCCAAGGCTCAAGAACTACGTGAAGAACGCAGAAGCCTCAGGAGCCGATGCGATCAACTGGAAGAAAGGGTATCAGTGATTGAAGATCAAATGAATGAAATGAAGCGAGAAGGGAAGTTTAGAGAAAAAAGAATAAAAAGAAATGAACAAAGCCTCCAAGAAATATGGGACTATGTGAAAAGACCAAATCTACGTCTGATTGGTGTACCTGAAAGTGATGGGGAGAATGGAACCAAGTTGGAAAACACTCTTCAGGATATTATCCAGGAGAACTTCCCCAATCTAACAAGGCAGGCCAACATTCAGATTCAGGAAATACAGAGAACACCACAAAGATACTCCTCGAGAAGAGCAACTCCAAGACACATAGTTGTCAGATTCACCAAAGTTGAAATGAAGGAAAAAATGTTAAGGGCAGCCAGAGAGAAAGGTCGGGTTACCCACAAAGGGAAGCCCATCAGACTAACAGCAGATCTCTCAGCAGGAACTCTACAAGCCAGAAGAGAGTGGGGGCCAATATTCAACATTCTTAAAGAAAAGAATTTTCCACCCAGAATTTCATATCCAGCCAAACTAAGCTTCATAAGTGAAGGAGAAATAAAATACTTTACAGACAAGCAAATGCTGAGAGATTTTGTCACCACCAGGCCTGCCCTAAAAGAGCTCCTGAAGGAAGCACTAAACATGGAAAGGAACAACCGGTACCAGCCACTGCAAAAATATGCCAAATTGTAAAGACCATCAAGGCTAGGAAGAAACTGCATCAACTAATTTTTCGTTTTCTATTTGCATGTTTGATTTTCCCCCATCCATTTATTTTGAGCCTGTGTGTGTTGTTGCATGTGACATGGGTTTCTTGAAGATAGCGTACCACTGGGTCTTGCTTCTTTATCCAGCTTGCCACCCTGTGCCTTTTAATTGGGGCATTTAGCCTGTTTACATTTAAGATTATTATTGATATTTGTGAATTTGATCCTGTCATCCTGTTATTAGATGTTTATTATGTTGACTTGTTTGTGTGGTTGCTTTATAGTGTCACTAGTTTTCATTCTTAAGTGTGTTTTTGTATTGGCTGGTAATGGCCTTTCCTTTCCACATTTAGTGCTTCCTTCATGAGCTCTTGTAAGGCAGGTGTGGTGGTAGATAATGCATTCCCTCAGCATTTGCTTGTCTGAGAAGGCTCTTATTTCTCTTTTGCTTATGAAGCTTTGTTTGACTGGATATGAAATTCTTGATTGGAATTTCTTTTCTTCAAGAATGTTGAGTACAGGCCTCCAATCTTTTCTGGCTTTTAGGGTTTCTGCTGAGAGGTCCACTATTAGTTTGATGGGCTTCCCTTTGTAGGTGATCTGTTCTTTCTCTCTAACCTGCCTTTAATATTTTTTATTTTATTTTGACCTTGAAGAAGCTGATGAATAGATGTCTTGGGGATGATCTTGTTAAGTGTTTTTTTTTTTGTGGGGGTTCTCTGCATTTCCTGATTTTGAACATTAACCTCTTTAGCTATATTGGGGAAGTTCTCATGGATGATATCCTGAGATATGTTTTCCAAGTTGCTTCCATTCTCCCCATCTCTTTCAGGGATGCCAATGTGTTGTACATTCAGTCTATTTACATAATCCCAGACTTCTCTGAGATTTGTTCATTCCTTTTCATTGTTTTTAAGATTATTTTCTGACTATCTTATTTCAGAAAGCAAGTTTTCAGGCTCTGAAATTCTTTCCTCAGCTTGGTTTATTTTGCTTTTAATACTTGTGATTGCATTATGAAATTCTTGTAGTGCGATCTTCAGCTTTATCAGGTCGGTTGGTTACCTTCTCTTCTATACTGGCTATATTGTCCTTCATTTCTTGTATAGATTTTTGTGATTCTTATCTTCCTTAGATTGGGTTTCAACATTCTCCTGATTCTTGATGATCTTTGTTGCTATCCATATTTTGAATTATATTTCTGTAATTTCAGCCATCTCAGCCTGGTTAAGAACTCTTGCTGGAGAACTGGTGTAATAGTTTAGAGGACAGAAGACACTTTGGATTTTTCAGTTGTCAGAGTTCTTGAGCTGTTTCTTTCTCATCTTTGTGGGCTGATGATTCTTCAGTCTTTTAAGTTGCTGTTCTTTGGATGATTTTTTTTTCTTTTACCCTATTTGATGCTATTAGGTGTTTGATTGTGGTATAAGGAGTGTTCATTTGACTGACTTCATTACTGGAAGGTTTTAGCAGGCCAAGGCTCAGCTTAGGACTCCTGGAATACATGCTCTAACTCTGGGGGACTAGTATTGGGTCCCAGCTTTGTTCTCTGGCTTCTTGAAGTTAGGAAATTGCTGTGCTGGAGGGATCAAGGTGCTCCCAGACTGCTGGTCACAACTTTCCAATTGGTGGTGCCTGCCAACACATTTCATAGAGTGATGGCAGCAGGACTTATCTTCGTTCACACATACCAGCAGCAGTGGCAGCATAGCAGCATGCATACTCGTCAGCTGCAGCAGGGTGCTATTGGGTGCTGGGGTGCTGGCTTCTTTGCAAGCATTTGCAGCAACAGTGGTAGCAGTACATATTGATGGGATGGCGGGGGACCTCTGCCAGTGACTGTGCATGCATTCACACTGGTGGTGGTGTTAGCATGGGGGAAGGGTGCTTGTGTGCACAGGACTGTGTGCGCCCTCTGCTTGTTCACATTGGTGGTAGTGGCTGCTCAGTTCTGTGGGTGGGTTTACAGTTTCCCATGCCTTGTTTTGCACTGGCAGCAGCGTTGGCACAGGTGCAGGGCACTGGTGGGCATGGGGTGGGTGGGAAGGGAAAGCAAGGTCTGCCTGCACACAAATGTGCTGGCACATGTGGGAGGTGGCCATGGGCGAGTGCCTGCAGGCAAAACAGCACTGGGGAGGCTGCAGAGCAGGGAGGGCACAGGCAGGTTGGTACATGTTCCTAGGGGCCTCTTTGCTGAAGCACTCTGCTGGTCATGTGCACGAAGTACCTGGGGCTGCACTGCAAGCAAGGCATGGTCAGACTGCGGCCCTAGGAGAGGCCAGCAGACCAAGGAGTGCTCAGGTTGGACCAGCCCCATCTCTTGGGCAGGACCACCTTGCAGAGTTCAGGTCTGACAGTTCTCCTAGGACTGAAGTCTCCTATGGGAGCAAGTTGAGCCTAGGGGATTGGGCATCCCTGGCCATGCTCCACTATAGGTGTTCTCACAGCAAACCCTCTGGGCTCCACTCTGGCTGGAGTTCTGCCCTTATCACTTCTCTAGCCAGCTTTTTCTGCCAACTCAAGTGTCCATGGTGGTTGAGGGGTCTCCTCCTGCCAGAATTTCAGAGGCCTGTGGTGAGATTGGGTTGCTCCTTGCCTGTTCAACTCACCCCCTCCGCAGGAGTCATTGGGGGAAAGGAACAAGTCCCAGTGCATTGTGGCCCCGTGCTTCCTTTTTTGTCTTTGATCTTGTTTATGTGGATTTTTTTTTTCTTTTTTCTCAGTTGGGCTAAAGGTATGTTGATTCTATTTATGTTTTCAAAACACCAACCTTTCATTTCATTGATCATTTATATTGTTTTCTTTATTTCACTTTCATTTATTTGTGCTTGATTTTTACTATTTCTTTTATTCTAATGATTTTGGGTTTAGTTTGCTCTTGCTTTTCTAGTTCTTTAAGATGCATTGTTAGGTTGTTTATTTGAAGTTTTTCTTCTTTTTTGATGCAGGAGCTTATCGCTATAAACTTTCCTCTTGGTATTGCTTTCACTACATGCCATAGGTTTTGGTATGTTTTGTTCCCATTGTCACAATAAAATTAAGAAGGAAATTTTAAGTTTTCCTTCTTAGTTTCTTCATTGACTCGCTGGTCATTCCATAGTATATTATAAAGTCCTCATGCATTTGTATACTTTCCAGAATTCCTCTTATTGATGTCTAGTTTTATTCCAGTGTGGTAAGAGAAGATAACTGATATAATTTCAATTTTGAATGCTTTAAGACTTGTTTTATGACCTAACATATGGTCTATCCTTGAGAATAATTCATGTACTGAGGGAGAGAATGTGTATTCTGCAGCCACTGGATGAAGTGTTTTGTAAATTTCTATTAGATCCATTTGGTCTATAGTGCAGATTAAATCTGATGTTTCTTTGTTGATTTTATGTCTGGAAGATCTGTGCAATGCTGAAAGTGGGGTGTTAAAGTTTCCTGTTATTGTATTGGGGTCTGTGTATCTCTTTATTTATAACAATATTTGCTTTATATATCTGGGTGATTTTGTGTCAGGTGCATACATATTTAAAATTGTTATAGCCTCTTGCTGAGTTGACCCCTTTATCATTATATGATGACATTCTTTGTCTCTTTTCATAGTTTTTGTATTGAAATATATTTTTTCTGATATAAGTTTAGCTACTCCTGCTGTTTTGTGGTTTCTATTGGCGTGGAATATCTTTTTCTGTCCCTTTATTTTCAGTTTTTGTGTGTCTTTATAGGTGAAGTGTGTTTCTTGTAGGCAACAAATTAGTGGGTCTTTTTTTTTTTTTAATCCATTCAGCCATTCTATGTCTTGTTTGGATAGTTTAGTCTATTTACATTCTGTGTTATTATTTATAAATATGGACTTACTATTGCCCTTTTGGTATTTGTTTTCTGGTTGTTTTGTGATCTCTTTTCCTTCCTTCCTTCCTTCCTTCCTTCCTTCCTTCCTTCCTTTTTGTGAAGATGATTTTCTCTGGTGGTATGGTTTCATTTCTTGCTTTTTATGTTTTGTGTATGTTTTGTAGGTTTTTAGACTTGAGATTACTATGGGGCTTGCAAACAAAATCTTTTAACCCAAGGAGAAACTATTTTATCAAAGCCTAACCCATGCGGGTGTTATGAGAGCTTAACCAGTGTGGAAGAAGGGAAATACCCATCTGTAACCCCATCTAGCCTTTATAATGGGGGAGGGGTAATACACAACTCTAGCCGCGTCTAGCCTTCCTTTCTCACATAAGGAAGAGAAAAAGCTGAGACGCACTTGTGAAGGTTACAGCACAGAAGCACTGGTCAAGTAAATGATGGAGACTTATTAATAGCAATGTAAAATGCTTCCTCTTCTGCCACATCTTATAAGAATTCAACAAGCCTCTTGTATAATAATAGAGGATTATAGTTGAATAGAACTACAAGATCTAGGCTGCATTTGAGAAGAAATTTCAGGAGAAACCCAAAAGCAATGTGGAAGACAAAAACAAGGACACTAGAGGAAATTTTAGTCTCTGACATTTACAGTTATGACAAACAGTAACATAGCCTAACTCTTACCCAGATAAACATAAAACCTTACACTAAAGACCTATTTTTCTCAGTACATTTCCTGATACATCATGTCTGGCTTTAAAGAAACTTTTTTTAAATTAAAAGACATACTAAATAAAAGGTAGAACAAAAAGCCTGAAGAATTGGACCAAGCATCAGAACCAGACTTAGATATGGCAGATATCTGGGGATTATTAAAATGGAAATTTAAAATAACAATAGTTAATATGCTAATGGTTCTAACAGAAGAGCAAACAACGCGCAAAAACAAATGGGTAATTTCAGTAGAGAGATAAAAACCCTAAGAATCAAAAGGAAATTCTAGAAATCAAAACTCTGTAAGAAAAATGAAGAATGCCTTTGGTGGACACATCAGTAGACTGGAACCGGCTGAGGAAAGAATTAGTGAGCTTAAGCATCTGTCAATAGATACTTCCTAAACTCAAAAACAAAGACAGTAAGGAATGAAAAAATCCAACTGGATATGGGGCAATTATAAAAAGTGTAACATGTACAAAATGAGAATACCAGAAAAAGATGAAGGAGAGAAAGGGATAAAGAAATATATGAAGCTATAATGGCTGAGAATTTTCTAAAATTAGTGACATAAACCAAATTGCACATTCAGGAAACTAAGAGACCACCAAGCAGGATTATCTTCACCTAAGCATATCATAGTCAAAGTGCCAAAAATGAAAGACAGAGAAAATGTTGAATGAAGCCAGAGGGATAAAAATCCTTACTATTGAAGTAAAAGGTGTAAATTATATCAAACTTTTTCTTCAGAAACTATACGAGCAAGAAGAGTGTAGTGAAATACTTAAAGTGCTGAAAAAACAAAACTCCTCCAATCTAGATATCTGTATTCAGCAAAATTGTCTTGCAAAAGTGAAGAAGAAATAAAAGCTCTCTCAGACAAAAATAGTTCGAGGGAATTTGTTGCCAGTAGACTTGCCTTTCAAGAAATGTTAAAAGAAGCTCTTCAGAAAGAAGAAAAATAATATAGGTCAGAAACTCAGATTTTCATAAAGAATGGTAGAGTATTAGTGAAGGAATAATTAAGGGTTAATTATTTTATTTTTCCTTTCCTAATTGATCTGACTTATAGCATTTTCCTAAAGTAATAACAGCAACTATATATTGGATGACTATAGATTATGGATAAGTGAAGTAAATGAGAGCAATGTTATAAGGGACAGGAGGGAGGAATTGAGAATACTGTTATAAGGTACCCACAGTACCTTATAACATGAGGTTTGGCATAGAGTTATTTTAGCCAATACTTGGGTTAGTTGTAAATATATATTTCAAACCCCAAGGCAACTACTAACAAAATTTTTTAAAGTCTAATTTATATGCTAAGAAAGAAGAGAAAATGGAATTATATAAAATGCTCAATTAAAACCAGGGAATGTAGAAAAGTGGTGGAAGACAAAAAAAGAAACAAAAGATAATGGCAATGAATAGAGTTACAAATATGGTCAATATTAATGTAACCATATCAATAATCACTTTAACTGTAAATAATCTATATACCAATTAAAAGACTGTGACTATAAATTGTATAAAATAGTAAGAACCAACTATATGTTAGCTATAAGAAATCTTTAAATATAAAGACACAGATAGACTAAAAGTAAAGGTATAGAGAAAGATATACCATGCTAACACTAATCAAAATAAACCTGGAGTGGCTACATTAATATGAGACAAGGCAGACTTTAAAGCAAATAAAATTATCAGGGATAAAGAGGGGCATTACATAATGACAAAGGGGACAGTTTTCCAAGAAGACAAAACAATCCTGAATATGTATGTGCCTAAGAACAAAGCATCAAAATATGGGAGGCCAAAAGTGATAGAACTGCCAAGAGGAATAGACAAGTCTCTCATTATATATAGTAGGAGATTTCAATACTTCAACATATTATATGTTTGAGGATAGGAAAACTCAATGTTGTTAAGAGGTCAGTTCTTCCCAAACTGATCTATAGATTCAACACAATCCCAATCAAAATTCCAGCAAAATATGTTGTACATACAGACAAACTGACTCTAAAGTTTAATAGGAGGGCAAAATGCCCAGAATAGTCAACACAATGCTGAAGAAGAATGTAGTCAAAGGACTGACACTACTCAAGTTCAGGACTTACTATAAAGCCACAGTAATCAAGGCATTATAGTATTGGCAAAAGAATGCATGGCTAGATCAATGGAACAAAGTAGAGAGCTCAGAAATAGACCTACAAAAATATACTCAACTGATCTTTGACAAAGGATCAAAGGCAATTCAAAGGAGAAAGGATAGGCTTTTTGACAAGTGATGTTAGAACAACTGGATATCCATATGCAAAAAAAAAAGTTAGACACAGAACTTAGTTTTCACAAAATTATCTCAAAATGGATTATAGATCTAAATGTAAAGTGCAAAAGTGTAAAGTATCTAGAAAAGTAACAGAAAAAATATCTGGATAACCATGGGTTTGCTGATGACTTTTTAGATACAACATCAAATGCATGATTCTTGAATGAAAAAATTGATAAGTTGGATTTCATTATAATTAAAAACTTCTGTTCTATGAAATACACAATGAAGAGAAAAGAAAATAAACAGATTTGGAGAAAATATCGATTAAAGACTTGTATTGAAAATACACAAAAACTCAGGCTGGGTGCAGTGGCTCATGCCTGGAATCCCAGCTCTTTGGGAGGCCGAGGTGGGAGGAACACCTGAGGTCAGGAGTTCTAGACCAGCCTGGTCAACATGGTGCACTACTAAAAATCCAAAAAATTAGCTGGGTATGGTGGTGCATGCCTGTAATCCCAGCTAGTCAGGAGGCTGAGGCAAGAGAATGGCTTGAACCCTGGAGGCAGAAGTTGCAGTGAGCCGAGGTGGTGCCACTGCACTCTAGCCTGGGCAACAGAGCCAGACTCCATCTCAAAATAATAATAATAATAATAATAATAATAATAATAATAATAAAAAAAGGAGATACACAGAAACTCTTAAACTCCACAATAAGAAAACAACCCAATTTTTGGCCTGGTGTAGTGGCTTATGCCTGTAATCTTGGCATTTTGTGAAGCCGAGGTGGGTGGATTGCCTGAGCTCAGGGGTTTGAGACCAGCCTGGGGAACATGGTGAAACCCCGTCTCTACTAAAATACAAAAAATTAGCTGGGGTTGTTGGTGCACCTGTAGTCGCAGCCACGTGAGGAGGCTGAATCATGAAAATTGCTTTAACCTGGGAGGCAGACGCTGCAGTGAGCTGAGATCCTGCCATTGCACTCCAGCCTGGGTGACAGAGTGAGACTCTGTCTCGAAAAAAAAAAGAAAAAGAAAAAAAAGAAAAGAAAGAAAGAAAGAAAGAAAGGATACCTCACCAAAGAAGATATACAAATGGCAAATAAGGAAATGAAAACGTGTTCAACATCATATGTCATCAGGGAATTGCAAATTAAAACAATAATGAGCTATCATCACACACCTGGCTAAAATCGAAAGCACTGACAACATCAAATGATGACAAAGATGCAACAGAAACTAGCATTCATTGCTGGTAGGAATGCAAAATGGTATAGCCACTTTGAAAGACAGATGGAAAGTTTCTTACAAAACTAAACATACTTTTGCCATATGATTCAGCAGTCATACTTTTTGGTATATACCCAAATGAGTTAAAAAATAACTTATGTCCACATAAAACACTGCACTCAAATACTTATATTAATAGCACTGTTATTCTTGCCAAAACCTAGCAGCAACCAAGATGTCTTTCAATAGATGAAGATACACAAATCATGGTCAATGGACTATTACTCAGTGATAAAAACAAATGAACTATCAAGCTATGAAAAGACATGAATGAACCTTAAATGCATATGACTAAGTGAAAGAAGACAGTTTGAAAAGGCTGTATGCTGTATGATTCCCACTATATGACATTCTGGAAAAGGCAGAACTATAGAGACAGTAAAAATATCAGTGGTTGCCAAGGATTTAGGAAGAGGGAGGAAAGAGAGAATGAATAGGTAGAGCACATGGCATTCTTAAGGTGGCGAAAGTATTCTGTTTGATACTATAATGATAAATACATGATGTAATTCAAAATGTGTGATGGACTTAAATGTACAATGTAAAACTATAAATCTTTTAAAAATCTTTGGAATGTCAAGTTGAGTAAGGAATTCTTGGACTTGTCACCAAAAGCAAGACTTATGAAAGGTAAAATTAATAAATTGGGCATCATCAATATTAAAACTTTGATCTGTGAAAGACAATGTGATGAGGATGGAAAGACAAAGCTGCAGATTGTGTGAATATATTTGTGAAGCACATATCCAACAAAAGACTAATATCTATAATGTATAAAGAACTCTCTTCGTCTCAAAAGTCAAATGTAAGAAAACAAACAATGAAATTAGAATATGGGCAGATATATGAAGACAACAAGGAAAAAACACAGAAGTCAAAAGCAATGAAATGATGGTTAATATTATTAGTCATCAAAGAAGTGAAAATTAAAACCACAATGACATACCACTAAACATTTATCAGAATGGCTACAAAAAAAGTCAGGAATAAAACAAGGAACACTATAGACCCTATAGATGTTAAAATGATGAATTAGTACTAAAAACAGCTCTATGTCCATAAATTTGACAAATTGAGTGTAATGAACAAATACCAAGAAAAATACAAATCACCAAAACTTATTTAGAAAAATAGAAATAACAAAATTGGAGAACACACACTTCAACTCAATTTTGAGGCTAGCATTATCCTGATATGAAACACAAATAAAGACATTACACGAAAACGAAATCACAAACTGATATTCCTCATGAATAAAGATACACAAATCCTCTACTAAAATGTTGGAAAATTGAATCCAGCAATACATAAGAAGAATCATGTATCATAACCAAGTGGGATTTACCACAGGAATCTAGGACTGGTTCAACACTCAAAAATCAACCAATGTAATTAACATTATTAATTATATTAAGAGATCAAAGAAGACATATCATCTCAATAGAACCAGAAAAAGCATTTGACAAAATTTAACATCTATTAATGATTTTTTGAAAAAAATCTCAGCATGTTAGGAATAGAAGGCTCAGGTAAACTCCCTTTACCTGAGTTACCCACAGCTAACATCATACTGAATGATGAAAGACTAATGCTTCTCTATACAATGAGGAGCAAGACAAGGATATTTCCTCCCCCTATTCTTGTTCAACAGCTTACTGGAAGTCTTATCCTTGTGCAGTAAGTCCAGAAGAAAAAATAAAAGACATCCAGATTAGAAAGAAAGAAACAAAACTATTTCTATGCTCAAATGACATGGTTGTCTATACAGAAATCCTCAACAAGTCTACAAAGAAACACCTAGACATAATAAATGAGTTTAGCAAGTTTGCAGGATACAAAGTCAATAAATCTAAAAAGTCAATTTTATTTCTATATATTAAAAATCAACAATTGGAATACAATATTGAAAGAACAGTACCAAAATACTGAAATGTATAGATTTAAATCTAACGGAATGTGTGCAGAATCTGTATGCTAAAAACTATAAAACACCAATGAAAGAAATAAGGACATTGATATCATTTGGCTGTGTCCCCACCAAAATCTCATCTTAATTGTAGCTCCCATAATTCCAATGTGTTGTGGGAGGAACCTCATGGGAGATAATTGAATCGTGGTAGTGGTTTCCCCCATACTGTTCTCATCATAGTGAATAAGTCTCATGAGATCTAATGGTTTTATAAGGGGTTTCCCTTTTCACTTGGTTCTCATTTTCTCTTTTGTCTGCTGCCATGTAAGACATGCCTTTTGCCCTCCACCATGATTATGAGGCCTCCCCAGCCATGTGGAACTGTGAGTCTATTAAACCTTTTTCCTTTCTAAGTTACCCAGTCTTGGGTATGTCTTATTTAGCAGTGTGAGAACAGACTAATACAGTAAATTGGTACCAGGTAGTGGGCACTGCTGTAAAGATACCCAAAAATGTGGAAGCAACTTTGGAACTGGGTAACAGGCAGAGGTTGGAACAGTTTGGAGGGCTCAGAAGAAGATAGGAAAATGCGGGGAAGTTTGGAACTTCCTAGAGACTTGTTGAATGGCTTTGACCAAAATGCTGATAATGATATGGACAATGAAATCCAGGCCGAGGTGATCTCAGATGGAGATGAGGAACTTGTTGGGAACTGTATTAAGGTCACTCTTGCTATGTTTTAGCAAAGAGACTGGTGGCATTTTGCCCCTGCCCTAGAGATCTGTGGAACTTTGAACTTGAGGGAGATGATTTAGGGTATCTGATGGAAGAAATTCCTAAGCAGCAAAGCAAAAGGTTACTTGGGCACTGTTAAAAGCATTAAGTGTTAAAAGGGAAACAGAGTGTAAAAGTTTGGAAAAATTTCAACCTGACAATGCCAAAGAAAAGGAAAAAACATTTTCTGAGGAGAAATTCAAGCTGGCTGAAGAAATTTTCATAAGTAATGAGGAGCCAAATGTTAATTACCAAGACAATGGGGAAAATGTCTCCAGGGCATGTTGGAAGTCTTCACGGCATCCCCTCCCATCACAGTCCCAGAGGCCTAGGAGGAAAAAATGGTTTTGTGGGTTGGGCCCAGGGCCTTGCTGCTTTGTGCAGTCTCAGGACTTGTTGCCCTGCATCCCAGCCCTGGCTAAAATGGGCCAATGTAAACCTCAGGCTGTTGCTTCAGAGGGTGTGAGCGCCAAGCTTTGGAGGCTTACACGTGGTGTTGGGCCTGCAGGTGCACAGAGGTCAATAATTGAGGTTTGGAAACCTCTGCCTAGATTTCAGAGGATGTATGGAAATGCCTGTATGTCCAGGAAGAGATGTGCTACAGGGGCAGAGCCCTCATGGAGAACATCTGCTAGGGCAGGGCAGAAGGGAAATGTGGGGCGTGAGCTCCCACACAGAGTCCCCACTGGGGCACTCCCTAGTGGAGCTGTGAGAAGAGGGCCACCATCCTCCAGACCCCAGAATGGTAGATCTATCGACAGCTTGCATCATGCACCTAGAAAAGCCGCAGATACTCAATGCCAGCCCATGAAAGCAGCCAAGAGGGAGGCTATACCCTCCAAAGATACAGGGGTAGAGCTGCCCAAGACAATGGGAACCCACCTCTTGCATCAATGTGACCTGGATGTGAGACATGGAGTCAAAGGAGATCATTTTGGACCTTTAAATTTGACTGCCCTGCTGGATTTCGAATTTGCATGGGGCCTGTAGCCCTTTTGTTTTGGCCAGTTTCTCCCATTTTGAATGGCCATATTTACCCAATGCCTGTACCCCCATCGTATCTAGGAAGTAACTAACTCGCTTTTGCTTTTACAGGCTTATAGGCAGAAGGGACTTGCTTTGTCTCAGATGAGACTTTGGACTGTGGACTTTTGGGTTAATGCTGAAATGAGTTAAGACTTTGGGGGACTGCCGGGAAGGCATGATTGGTTTTGAAATGTGAGGACATGAGATTTTGGGAGGGGCTGGGGTGGAATGATATGGCTTAGCTGTGTCCACACCCAAATCTCATCTTGAATTTTAGCTCTCATAATTCCTACATGTCATATGAGGGACCTGGTGGGAGATAATTAAACCATGGGAGTGCTTCCCCCATACTGCTCTTGTGGTAGTGAATAAGTCTCATGAGAGCTAATGGTTTTATAAGGGGTTTCCCTTTTCACTTGACTCTCATTTTTCTCTGTTATCTAGCTACTGCATGCCTTTTTTTTGCCATCTTCTGCTACTCTTTTCTTCACTATGCTTCAGTGACACAAAAATGTTTGTACTTCCTCCTACACACCATGTTCTTTCTGCTCTTTCTGTCTTTGCTTAAACTGTCCTTTTGCCTGACCACCTCCTACTTTTTCTTTAAGACTCGGCCTAGGAAACTTTCCTTGAGCTCTCTGGGCTGGAACAGGGGCCCTCTGTTTGCTGTCTCATAATATCCTGCAGTATAACTCTATACTGCATTACAGAAATCTGTTTGATCAACTAAATTGTGTAGTCTTTTAAGACTTGGACTTTTCTCTTATTCATCTTTGTATTCACAACATTTAGCACACAACTTGTTATTCAATAAATGTCAAATGAATTAAAAGAGTGGTAGTTTATTTTACTTCTGAGAAGCTGATTTATAAGAGTAACTGAACCCTTAACAACTTTCATTATCCTATAATAGGTCTCATTTCTTGGACATTAAGGGATATAAAGCATAAGATAGTGGTTTTGAAATTAAGGTTGTGAACACTACTATTCTAAATGGCAATAAGAGTAAAAACTCAATTAAGAAAGTATTTTCACCTTATATATTTTTCTAAGAACATGGTTTAGCAGCCTGGTCAAATAACTGGTATTGCTCCATAAACAGTCTATTCTGAAGCTTAGGTGATCCATTGTACAAATCAACATTTATTGAGTACATTATTTAGAAACTAGGAATACAAAGAAAAACAAGATTACTTCTCAAAGGAGCTCACACTTTCCTGGTAATTAAGAGAAATGAGCAAATTTTGAAGATTTTCTTATTTTGGCTATGGGGTAGGGAGGCAATGTTGATAGATTTTTTTTTTCCTTATTGTATGCCTATTTAGCATTAATGTGTTTCTAGCTACAGACCCACCACAATAAATCCATGCTTTGGTCAGGAGGAAAAGAGCCAGGGATTATGGATGTATCAGAAAAAAATTTAAACTTCTTCTGGAAAAACAAACAAAAATCCCCCACAAACCAAAACCAAAAACAACTCCCCACCCCAACAACCTTAGAACTCATGTCTTATAGGTAGTGAGTCAGCAATATTACCTTTTTGGATGAAGGACGGTTTCTGATTAATCAGAGATTATAGTGATAAAGAAATGCTGGTTTTGCTAATAAAAGCCCCAAATTAAACTACAAATATTAGAGTCTCCGGTTTGGACTTTTTTCGGGGGTATGAGTTATTTCTCAGGGTTGAAACAGTCATCATAAATTCTATGTGGAAGAAATACAGAAGATGAATAATTATTTGACTCCTTTTTTCTAAAAGACAATTATTCAGCTCTGTCACCAGGCATCACATTTCTCTTTCAATTAGGTCAATTCTCTGCAGAACAACCAAAACACACATTCATTCATTTTGCCAATAAACTTGCAGAATGGTTGCATAATCTTTTCATTTTCTAGTCCTCTGTTTTAATTTTGAAGAAAATAAGGTTATTATATGCCAGACAATTTTTTCCATTAAAATGTATTTCTTTAAAAATATAATTTATGCCAAGTCAAACAATCTGCCTCTATCAAACAGGCAATTTCATTTATAATATATTTCTTTATTAGAACAAGCAACCAATTGGACTTTTTATTTAATTAGTTCTAAATAAAACTACTGGGACTCTTTGAAAACTTACCTTTATTTTTATATTGGCTGTGCATAGGTAATTTTTATTAAATCTCTTTTTAAAAGTGTATTTTTAAGGTAAGGAAGAAAGTTTCATTCTGGTAGCCATCCAGATCCCTTAGTTCCTATGTGTAAAGGTTACCATTTAAATCCCTTATTGTTGCCCACGTTTAAATAGCTATGCCAGTATATCAGACAGTGACATCTTCCCTCCCATATAGCCTCCAAAGCAACTGTGGCTCCTTACCACTTGCCCACCATCTTTCTACCATCATTTATAGTTCTTGAAGTCCTGGGAAGACTACCACATGAAATTCTGAGTTTCTGAAAATTGACATGCAATATGTATAGTGAATTTCTTATTGTTAATAAGAAATTAACACAGAATAGATACATAGCTTGGGGGAGGGGTGGTGGAAGTATAATGCAAAACTATAGTCAGTGACCGAGGTCTGATGAGGAGAGGAGAGAATGATATGTCAGCTGGGGTTCACTGAATTAAACAGAAACTATGCTACATATTTAAACTGGAGATTTAATATAGAAAAATGTTAACATAGGAGTTGGAAAGCTGAAAGAGCACAATGGGATGTAGAAATAGCCATTCAGATAATAGTAACACTTTTTAATTAAAATAATAGAGAAAAGAAGAACAAAGGATAAACCAGTTAATATACTCGTAACAATCAAGGAAGTAATATGCAGAGCTGCTACATTCTTGTTTCTATAACTGGTCACAAGGCCATAGTTGATCTTTCTAATGTCTTCCTTCTACTATCCTTTCCATGTTTGCTTTACTGTCAGACAGAAAATCAGTTCATTGAGTCTTTACATGGTGAGGTGATCCCAAACTTAATTCCTGAAGGATCTGAGACCTTAGTAGTCCTTTCTTATTTGCATTACTCTAGTTTTTAAATTAATTTTTACTATTGGATATCCAAATATGAAATGGTGCCCCAGAGACTCCCTTGAGATTTAGATATAGCCCCCCATTTTGTAGAAGCAACCCAAATTTCCCTTGATAATAGGGATCGATCACCCTCACCCTTATCTGCCTTTTGGCTCAATGGTGTGAGGATCCCCAAATGAACAGATGATCACCTCAGCTTCCAATTAAATGGAAATATCATCTTCTCAAGTGGAAGCATTTCTTCCTCGGGATCTTAGACTTCTAAGCAGCAGAACACAAAGTTATGTTATTAGATGTAAGAGAAATAGGATCTACTCTAATTGCCACCTGTTGTGATTCCTGGATCCATGTATTTTTGGCTATGGAAGAAAAAGCCATGTATTTGTGACTGGTTCAAAGCATAGTTCATATCTTGTAGATTAGAGTACTAATTTCGCCAGGTGTTTTTGTCCAACTAGCACTGTAACTTCCAACTGGTGCTGTAGTCTTCAGTAGGTCATTGCATTCAGGTAAAGCATATTAGTTTTCTATTGCTTTCAAACAAACAATCACAACTTAGAGGCTTAAAACAGTACCCATTTATTAGCTCACCATCCTGTAGATAAGAAAGCTGGCAGGGAATGACTCAGTTCTCTGTTAACGGTGTCACAGGCTGAAATCAAGGTGTTGGCTGCACTGAGTTCTCAGCTGGAGGCTCTGGGGAAATTTCTACTTTCTTTTTTTTTATTATTATTATACTTTAAGTTTAGGGTACATGTGCACAATGTGCAGGTTAGTTACATATGTATACATGTGCCATGCTGGTGCGCTGCACCCACTAACTCGTCATCTAGCATTAGGTATATCTCCCAATGCTATCCCTCCCCTCTCCCCCAGCCCCACAACAGTCCCCAGAGAAATGCAAATCAAAACCACAGTGAGATACCATCTCACACCAGTTAGAATGGCAATCATTAAAAAGTCAGGAAACAACAGGTGCTGGAGAGGATGTGGAGAAATAGGAACACTTTTACACTGTTGGTGGGACTGTAAACTAGTTCAACCATTGTGGAAGTCAGTGTGGCGATTCCTCAGGGATCTAGAACTAGAAATTTCTACTTTCAAGCCCATTCTTGTTGTTGGAAGAATTCAATCTCTGCAGCTGTAAGACTGAGGTCCCTATTGCCTTGCTGGCTATGAGCTTGAGGATGTTCTGAGCCCATAGGAGCTGCATGAATTCCTTACCATGTGGTTCCCTGTATCTTCAAGTCAGCAACTACATGTTAAATCCTCATATTTTGAATCTCTGACTTCCTCTACTGCCACCAGTGGTAGAAAACTCTCTGCTTTTAAAGGGGGTAATTAGGTCAGGCCCACCGTGCTTATATCTTTTTCTTAAAGTCAGCCATGCCATATAACATAAGTAATTATATGAGTAAAATCTGTCATAGTCACAGTCCAGGAGATTATACAGTGTGTGTACATCAGGAAGTGGGGATTGGGAGATTTCCTAGAATTTTGCCTACCGCAAAAGGCAAATCCATATCTAGAGTTTCCATTCCAGATAGAAATATTGCTGCTTTTTTTTCCTGATGGAAATGGTCTCATATAATCACCTGCTTGCTGATTCAACTGAGGAATGATGCCATGTTGGGAGCTCAGCATTGGTTTCTGCTGTTGGCAAGTTAGGCACTCAGTAATGATGGTAGCCAGATCAGCATCAGTGAGAAACAAGTCCATGTTGTTGCACCCATCCATAACCTCCATTTCTGCCACCATGGACATTATGTGTATAAGCTCATTGAGCAAGTATCTGGGTGTCTGGTGAAAAGGCAGACTGAAATCCACAGGACAGGCTATCTTGACCTTGACCATCTACTATTGGGAAACTTCATCTACATAATTTTCTCCAAGATCTCCTCATCACCAATCTACCAATCATGTTTTTTCCAGGCCCCTGATCATTTAAGTCAAAATATTAGCCACTGTCCACAAATCAGTTTAGATCAATACTTCTGGCCACTTCTCCATCCAGGCAGAGTAGAAAAGCTAAAGTACTGATCAAAGTTCTGGCCACTGAAAGGATTTCCCTTCACCTCTGTCTTTCAAGAGGCACCCTATAACCAGGGACATAATGCTACAGCAGTCTGTTTCTGGTTTGACAGGATAACATGGAGAATCATCTATCAGCCAAGCCCTAATTTATTTTCCTCAGCCAACTGGAAATAGGTAATTGTGTGTGTTAAGGGATAGTTGGCGATGCAGTGGAGTCTGAGCCAACTGCTCATGCAGCTTATCGGTACCTTCAGGACCTGCTGGGACTTACATACCATTTTCTCCTGATGATGGATTGCTGCTTCGCATATCCAAACTTACAGCTTGATGGATCAGATAACATCCAGTTCATAGCGGGCAGCTTAGGTCATATGGCTACTTTTTGGCCTGTGGTTGGGTATTTGGTCTCTACCAGAGCTGAGTAGCAAACTAGGAGTTGTTTCTTGAAAGGAGATTGGTTATCTGTGGGGCACTTGGTTTTGCTCAAGGCTCTAGTTATCCTGTTGGTCTATGCAGCATTCCTATTTACCACAGACACTTATAGTATCATTGGATCTTCTGGGTCATAAGCTTAGCTCAAGTAGCAGAGCAGCTTGGGCAGCAGTACGGTTTCTTCAGGGACTTCTCTTGCTTGGGGTCCTATTCAGAATAACAGCCTTACAGGTTACACAATAAATCGGCAGGAGCAGCACACTCAAATGTGGCGTATATATATATATTCTCTCAAATCCAAAGCATTGTGCCTTTTTCTTTGTTGTAGGAGGTGCTAGGTACAGCAACTTGTGTCTCATTTTGAATGAGATATATTGTCATGCCTCAGGCCACTGGACCCCTAAAAACTGAGAAGACAAGCCCACATGGGATTGATGTTTGAGCTTCTGAGGAGGGCACTCCAGTTTTAACACCCAAACCTTAGTACAGGAGCACCTGGCAACTATTGTCCAGACTTCTGAGTAGGATGACCTATGGATGGGGTTTGGACCTTTGGTGGCAGGTGCCCTGTATTAGTCAGGGTTCTCTAGAGGGACAGGACTAATAGGATAGATGTATATAAGAAAGGGAGTTTATTAAGGAGTATTGACTCACAGGACCGCAAGGTGAAGTCCGACAATAGGCCGTCTGCAAGCTGAGGAGCAAGGAAGCTCCAAAGTAGGGAAGCCGACAGTGCAGCCTTCAGTCTGTGGTCGAAGGTCCAAGAGTCCAAAAGCTGAAGAACTTGGAGTCTGATGTCCTAGGGCAGAAAGCACCCAGCACAGGAGAAAGATGAAGGCTGGAAGACTCACAGTCTAGTCGTTCCACATTCCTCTACCTGCTTGTATCTTAGCTGTGCTGGCAGCTGATTAGATGGTGCCCATCCAGATTGAAGGTGGGCTTGTCTCTCCCAGCCCACTGACTCAAATGTTCATCTCCTTTGGCAACACCCTCACAGACACACCCAGGAACAATACCTTGCATCCTTCAATCCAATCAAGTTGACATTCAATAGTAACCATCACAAGTCCCATAGCCAGTGTTCAGCTGGAATGGGAATCTGGGAAATGTAGATTGCAGAATCCATCTTCACAAAACAATGTATAAAGGAATAAATTTGGGACTGAATGACAATAATTAAATAGCCATCATTAATTCAAATGTCTTATGTTAATAAGGGAGAAGCATAGACTCTTCTTCATATTTTTCAGAGAGGATTTATAATGCAGCATAATGTCCCTCTAGCATTACTCAAGCATTGTGTCCCATCTACTGTTACTTTATTTTGAAGGTTCTGCTCTTACTCTTTCTCCCTAGCTCAGCTTAAATTCCCCTTAGTTATTCACCTCTAACTACCAGCCTAGGTCTTCAGCCTAGTGAACAAGTTTCAACTTTCCTTTATAAATGAGCACCTTCTTCCTATACAGTGAAGTTTATACCTGCCAAAATAATGTGACTGATCATAATACCTTAAACATACAAATAAGTGATATTTCCAAACAACTGAAGATTTTTTTTGCTACACATTTTTTTTTGCCCTGTGGCTCTTTATCAGTAGTATCTATAGCCTCAGTAGGGGTATAAATCCAGATTAAATTAAGTTTTCCAATTGGAATAGTCTAGATTATGCTACAGTAATAAAAATCCCTCAAATTTCAGTGGCTTAATCCAGAAAAAGCTTATTTCTTGTTCATACTAGATGTTGAACGTGAACTGATGGGGAGATCTGCTTATTGCAATCAGGGATCCAGTTTGATAGAAGCTCCATCTCAACATGCTTCTATAATTAAGGCTGTTGAAATGGAGCACAGCAAAATGCACACCAGGTCTTATTCCTGCCCAGAAGTGGCATGTTACTTCCTTTTGCATCTCATTGGCCAAAGTAGGCCACATGTTAGGCCTAATATCGAAATGGGTGACTAAGTTTAATGGTACCATATTTCTAAAAGAAATGAAATTTGTGTACAGTTTTAATGAATACCTACATTTTCTTGTTTAACTTATGACAATAATCTTGAAGGCCAAGGCAGGTGCCTGGAATTTTTGTGGAAAAAAGGGGGAGGGATTGAATGTCAAAAGTCTAAAAGACTGTGGACTCAGCATGGAATTTAGCATAAGAGTTGGTTACCACTGACAGAGAAGATGAAATTGATATTGAGATAAAATAAAAAGATGAAAATGAGAGTTAGTTTTGGGTTTGCATTCTTATACACAATGAGGATATGGGACTCTTGTATCCTGCCCCCTCCAAGTTAAGAGGATTGATAAAAACACAGGTAAGTTTGATTGGGCCCAGAATACAGGAAATCTGGGTCGTGATTTTCTGGCAACTGTCCTAGAGATCAGTGTAGCATGGTGCTGATAGGGAAGAGAGTATTGGCTGAGGGGTTTGGCAGGATAGGCAGCCTCACTGAGTCACAAGCATTCCTGCTTGGTGTGGTAAAGCTGCCCAGGATTTCTCTGCATGTTAGCGTGGTTGTAGGGGGCTCTAAATTGCTGACAGGAGTCTGATATCAGACATGGACATAGAATACATGGATAGACCTAACGATCAGGTGTCATGGTGAGCAGGCAGACATCAAAGTTGCCAGCCCACCTTTGAAGAAGACCAAATGACATGGGGTATAACTAAGCAGAGGCCAGTGAAGACAAAGGATAGTTTTTGGATCACATGTACAATATCTCTCTGATACTAAAATCATATTTATATATGTCCCTTCCTTCACCTTCTCCAAGAACTTAGATCATCTCCTTTCATCACTAGCTTCTTTAATCACTCTGAACCAGATGTAAGAAGAAGGGGAAGAGTGAGAATGAAGAACTGAAGTTAAGAAAAATCTGAAAGCAATTGAATTAGCAAGATTAAGTTTTATGCCATCAGTGAAACTGTAGAACTAGAAATCTAGATTCTGTTTAGTTTTAGAAAAGTAAATGAAGTTTCATGTTCACATACTTGAGTTCTGTAACTGTGTGCATTTTTAGCCACTTTATATACACTGTATGTATTATTATGGATATTACCACACATGATCTTATAAAATAAACAGGGCATGTGTTACTTCCCCCATTTTATACAATTTATAGATAGGTAATCTATGGCTCAGAGAGTGTAAAGGACTATGCCATGGACATAAAGCTATAAGTGCTGGAGACTAGACCAGCTCTTAGACACTGAGATTCTTGGAATTTTACTCTCCTTAATTTGGTAATTTTTTATAAAATATACCTTAGAGTTGAGCATAATTTCAAACTTTGAGTAAATCAACTTTGTTTCTTCACCTTGAAAAAAATGTATTTAACTATGAATGGGAAATAACAAAGATTGAAATAAAACATTCAATGATTAAATAAATAAAAATTATAATAATTACCTCTCATTTATAGAATGTGCTATGTTTTTAAAGTGCTAATACTTTTCTACAAGAAAGAATTTAAAGAATCATATATTTAAAAACATTTAAAAATAAATAATACATTCAGATGGTCCAAAATTCAAATGTTATGAAATAATATATGGTGAAAAGCAAGTCTCTCTCCAACCCTTCACCAGCCACCAAATTCCTTCCTCAGCGATAATAGCTGTTATCAGTTATTTGTGTTTCCTTCCAGAGAAATGCATGTACAGCATACAGGTATAAAATATGTCATGGAAGTTTAAACATAAGCCTCAGAAATAATAAATATTATGCTACAGCATCTTTTCCCACCTGTCTTCTATTATTCAGTTGCATATAGAACATTCCTTCCATTAGACTACCAACTTCTCAGGAGCAAATAGAGTATTACTCATCTATCTTTGATGCTGGTTAACATATATTTTTGCCATTATAGGAAATATTTATTCAATTAACTTTGGGAGAATTTAGACAAAATAACTTATTGCCTGGAAATGTTTGAGGAGGTCATATCATGTAGGATAGTAACTAGATATTTGCTTAGTCCATGGTATATGTAATGATGATATAAGACTACATATATAATTGGCATATTTTCATTGTCTCTATTCCCGCTGCTGCTGTCCTATTTCAGGCCTTATTACTTCTCACTTTAGGTAAGGTAAACTAACAGGCCACCCTTTCTCTATCCTCTTCCATTCTTCTCTCTATTCTGTACCTCTTCCATGAATTCCCTATACACTGCTGCCAATGTATCCCCCTAAAACTACAATTTTAATCATGTAACTTTATAACCCTGCTCCTAAATTCCAGTTGTTCCCACAATTCATCTATGTAAAGTTTAAAATCCTTTGTATAGCAAGCCATTTCCAATTTTACTTGAAATTACTTTTCTAGTGTTATCTTCAGAACATATATGCCATTTACACCAAATTGTACTACTTACTTTTCCACCAAACAAAAGTTAAGGTCCAGTATTATGTAAGATGATATAATGATTTTTTCAAAAAAATTAATCTTTCTTCTCAATAAAGTGTGTTTCTTTATACTTCTAGTTTAACTTTCTTCATATTTCACTATATAGGTAGCAGAAAGAAAAGTTAAACACTTCAACTGAGATGTAGAAAAAATAATGCACATACCTTTATTTGCATTATTTTTTCTACATCTTAGTTGAAGTGTTTGAAGTTGAAATCATATACCAGTGTGATCAGAGGCTTATAAATGACTCAATTTTACTTTTAAAAAACAGTGTAAATTCCCCTGGCCTTAACATGTTTTTGTAAAGAAAAAGAATAATACTCTTAAATAAGTGAAACATTCTTTTTCTATGGAGATGTACTAGGTTTTCTGTTGACTTTTACTCTTTATCACATTTCTGTGTGTACTCCTCCTCAGATTTGAGCAGTTCCTCATACAGGTTTAAAAATTTGTCTAGAGAAGATTTATTTCCAAAACTTAATGAACATTAGGCTTGGAAAGCCATTTGTCAATTCAGTGGTGAAACGATGGCACTCTCAATGTTTTGCAAATTTTCTTTCACCTTATCTTAAATTTCTTTGAATTAGTAGTGAGGTGATTTTGCTATGCCTGTGAGCTGAGTCGCTCTTAAACAACAACAACAATAACAAATAAACAAAACTAAAAGTAAACTGTAATTTCTGTGGATTTTAGAAAAGCTCAAAATTTGCTTCTTTTATTTCCTCCCTACGATAATTATATTTAAGGCATTTTTCCCTGTCAGATGATCTCAGTGGTAGGTACCTTCAAAAGCACAGAAAGATATATTTCCATATGCTTTGACCTGTAAGTATGGATAGGTTATTTTTCTCTATACATCCATCAACAGTTGAAAAAATGAATAAATTCTGGTACATTTATAACTGAAATACTATATAGCAAGGAGTATGAGTCAGTCATTCTTATACCCAACATGCGTTTATCTCGCAAACTCCTCAGCTTGAGAAATACTATAGGATTACCAGTACCTTATAGGCCTGACATATACCTTCCCTGAATATATATATTTTTCCCTTCAGAGGAACCCCTTTGTATTAATACCCTTGGAATTAATCATCCCTTGGACATAGGTGGGATATATAAATAGGAGCATAATTCCTAGGTCATAAATTTAGGTATCTTATAAAGAAATCCTGCTGCTGCATGACACTCTCTTCCATTGGTACCTTCTGCCCTAGAAGTGGTAGAAGCTTCCTGCTCTTACGTCCTCCCAAACCTTCCTGCTGTTTGGCTTGTCAGCTATTCCAATACCTTTGCTATTTGTCTTTATATTAAACTCCCTCTTTGAACTTTTTGGCATGGGCTCTGTTTCCTGACTGGACCCTGACTGATATACATCATATTTCTTTCTATTTCTTTATCATGTGAATCAGGATCTCCAATACCATCACATTTCATGAGGAAGTTTAAGACCTCATTGACTGTAAGATTTATTCTTATTTTATGTACCACTTCCTAGGAAAAATGCAGCACAATTAAACTGTGACCCTGTACTTTCTTCTGAATTTTTATTTTACATTTTTATTGAAAGCATATTCATTTAGAGTTAATTAGACACAGGTTTCTATTATATATTATATGCATAATACAAAGAAAATCCTGATGAACAAATGGTTAAGGTCTTCCAAAATTCTTTATATTAAGAGGATAACTCTTCTCGATAACTTTTTATGTAACAGTGGTAAAACTGTATGCTTTCTCACACAGTATTATAATTTGGTCATCAGGAATGTTAGTAAAGTCAAAATTTTTTAAAAAATCCATAAAATAACTAAAAGTCATTGTTGCTGTGCTTGTTAGCTAGGTTAACATTGATATTAGAAATAAGAAATTATTCATAAAAGCAACAAATACTATAAAGTAGTTGAGATTCAACTTAGCTAGAAGTACTTCACGAATAACTCATCTATTTATTTCTGCTTTGGGAATTTTCAGAAATACTCTTATTCCATACTTCCCCCTGTACAACCATTCAGTTTGGAAGGGTTAAAAGAGTGTTTTACTATTGCCTGTAGGATTTTCTTCCAAGTCTCTGACTCTCTTTCTATAAAATTTGATGTTGGACTTTTTGGTATTCATACATGAATAAGGAATCACAGCTATATTCCAACTACTGCCAGTTTGATATACATTATTAAATACTTGAATTGTGAAATTCACTTCAATTTCAGAGATGTATAACCTGAAAATATGTGTATTTTGGAATTGATGAGATTGATAGTTTTACCTTGAGTTTTATTTTTATCTGTGAGAATTCTTTGCACCTGAGTTGATGTTGCCTTATTATAAAGAGGATTTGCCAGTTGCCTAGAGCCACTTCCAGCCTTGAAGCACTTTAAATTATATTCTTTGTTCAAGATATTTTCTGGCCATGCAGGTAGTATGAATTTGGACTATAAATTCCTGGGAGGAACCAGCTTGTGGTTATAAATGAGTATTCTTAGGGGAGATTTTTTTTTTCCATTCTATTCAGTATCAAGGTCGAGATCAGCAAGTTTTATTTTTTATTTTTTTTGCTGTTCCTTCTGTACATTGTTCTTTGTATTGTTTGGCTTTCATTTGATTTGATGTTTCTTTCCTATTTACCCTTACACCTTTGAGTCTCATCTTTATGAGGGGTTTTCTTTTGTATTCCACACCTTGGGCAGCTAGGCTTTATCTGTTGATTCCCGTTTCATATCCACACAGTTATCATTGCAGAAGCTGAAATCTCCAGGATTTCACAAAATGTCTCAGGGTGAGGCTGACTTTGGTGTTGACTTATCTCCTAGGTTTCACTTTGACTTCAGCATAATTCTTCCTTTTGAGTCAGCACAGCAGTACGTTAAAAAAAAAAGTGTTCTTTTTTGATTGAGACAATGATTAGGGTAACTAGTCTGCTATCTGACTACCCTGGGAACTCATTCATTCATTCATTCATTCATTCAGGATGATAGCTTTAAGATGAAAACAAAGTGTCTGTCATTATACAATTACAGTAGTGACACCTTAACTATTCTGAGAAATAACTGTTTCATGTATTTCATTAATTTGAAGGACTACCTTAGCCTTATTCTTTTCTTCCTAAGTTCTAGCTTGGATATCAAAGTCATTGATGGAAATAGAAAATCTTGAGACAAGAAATTTCAAAATTTTTTTGAGTTGAAATTTATGAAGGCAGTCCCAAGTCTTTATTCTCAAATAATCTCTCTGGTTTTCATAACTGATTTTAACATTTGGAGTCAATTAACATTTTCTGAGACAGAAGAGATGGTCAGTACTATCACAATTTTTGTTTATATTAATTATCACATCTTTAAAAGTCTTTTGGTTTATAGTTTGCAGTAAGTCAGACTACATACTGTCCATTATAAAATTGCCACATCCCTCAGAATACCTTTCTTAAATGGAACAATTAGCAGAATCTGGCTTAATAAATAATTCTACCTAATGTCAGTCATACTAAGAAGGTTTATTCTATCACGTATTATTCAAATGGATATGCAACCACAAATTATAATGATGAGGCAGCATAACTGTGAAATGTGAGATATCAAGAGAGACAGATAAATCTGGGTTGTTGCAATTAGACGTATGGAAAGATTTTTGTGTACTGGTTTGATTCTTTGATTGGCTAGGTGTAGAATTCTAGGCTTGATTATTTTAAACATGCATAAGGAAAGTGATGGGTCTTAGGCTGTACCTACATGGAGTGAAAAGCACAGTCACCCAGAAGTGAGTACAAATATTGTATTTCTGAATGGTCAATATGTTTACTTTGAGACACACTGCATGGTTAAACTAGGCAGTGAAAGTAGATAAAATTTGTAGCGCTGTTTGCTGACTCATGGCATGCTATTTCCATAAGTAGATATGTTAGTTAAAGAGACAGCTGTGAATAGCAATAGGTTCTGCATTTATGATTAGATTAGGTTAAATCATTTTGTTATTTGCTCTTCCTCTTTTAGTATACTCGTCAAGCTTATAATAATGTATTACCACTTTTCCCATTGACAGTAAAATCTATGAGGGGAGATCATTTGGCTATTCTCTCTGTAGCTCACTGACTGTCAGATTGCTGTTTTTTGAGTGTATACATATGTGTATATATATATATATACACATATGTGTATATATATACACACACATATATACACATATGTGTATATATATACACACACACATCTATATATACACACGTGTACACACATATATATATATACACACGTGTACACACATATATACACATATATGTGTGTGAATTACATATACACATAAATATACATCCATATGTTTGTTTACATTTTAAAATTCATTTGTTACAGCTGAAAATTGAAGAACAGTTTTTGTAGACCCTAGCCAGAGAAAGTACTGTTTATCAAGCATTGTTTCTTTTTCTGAACGCTGCCCCCTCCCCAACATACACAGTTAAAAACAATGAGCATGATTGTCATTCAGTTCAGAAAACAAGACAAAACACTCAGTTTTGATTTTTCAATGTTAGGGATAAATTTGTACTAGCATGGGAAGATCCTCAGCTTTGCCATTAAAGGACTTGCAGTTTCAAACCAGAAAAGCAGAAGGTAACTCTAAGCATAGACTATTTTCCATTTCCAATCCTTAGTTCTCTCACCATAGAATAAAACATTCAAAGAATATACATCTGGCAGCAAAGTAAATGCCATTTGGTTGATGACATAATTTCCCTATTAGGCAAAAATTCTAAAGGAAATTGGTCTGGTCTGAAGTAAACTTTTAAAGAAATTAACAGACCTGTTAATCTTTACCATCATTCTGGGAATTTTCTTATTTTCTCTCCTGCGCAGATTCATTTCTTGGACCGCATGTCTTTCTCTTTCCTGGTTTATTCCTCTGCTTTGGTGGTGCATACCCTCTGGTAGCTTTTGGAAAAAGGGCACATGAGAGGTTAATTTTTTGAGTTCTTACATGTCTGAAAATATCTTTATACAACTGTCACATTTGATTTGCTATGCATAGAATTCGAGGTTGGAAATAATCTTTCTTCAGAATTTTGAAAGCAATGTCTTCTAGCTGCCAGTGTTGTTTTAAGAACTGCAACACCATTCTAAATTTCTAAATTCTGATTTTTTGTAAGTAAGTACACTGTATTTTCCCCTTGAAGCTTGAGAAATCATCCTTTTATCCCCAATGTTTTGAAATTGTTCTATAACATGCTTTGATAAAGGTCTCATATACTGTGTTGAGCACTTGTTGGATACTTATCACTCTAGAAATGTGTGTTCTTCAGTTGTGGGAAATTTTTTCGTATTATTTGTTTGATCAATTTTTTCTCCTCTGTTTTCTTTCTTCTCTCTTTCTGAATCTCCTAATTTTTCCATAGTAGGGTTTTGGCATAGAATCTCTTTCTTTTTATGGAGTAAAAGTAATGTTTATCTGAGTCTCCCTTATAATCCTATCACTTAGTGAGAAACTCTTTTAATATTTTGCTATGAAAATTATACTGTGTGTGCGTGCGTGTGTGTTTAGTCATACCATGTATAATACTTTGCTATTCAATAAAAATGTATCTTGGACATTTTCAAAGTCTCTATTTTTAAGATGACTGCACAATATTCAATTTTATGAATGTACTATTATTTAATTATTCCTTTATTGAAGGTTATTTAAGATTTTAGTATTTTATTTATATAAAAATCTACAGTGAAAAATTCTTATATATATATATCTGTGTACACTTATATGATTGTATCTGTGGGATAATATTCTGGAATTGCTATAATTAGGTCAGTGAATAAAGTACTAGATTTTAGGTTTATAGCATACATTTTATAATAATTTAATAGTCACTTTGTTGCTTTAATTGCTATCTAGGATGTCATCAGAATTGCTTTTTTCTTGTAATTAGGATTGTACTTTTTCCTGATTTCTTATTGCACAACAAGCAGTTGCAATAGTAATAATCTTGATTGGTTATGAATCAACTTAAGGGCCTGCAGAATGTTTATAAATAAAGAGAAAGAGAGACCAAATAAGTCATGACATGACTAACTCATTGTCCTAATGGCATGAACTTTACTATCAAAAATGTACAAATTTTACATATCCCATTTAGCTACTTCATTGGCCCAGAAATAAAACACACAGATTTGTCAAGATAACAGGAATAAGGATTGTCTGTTTCCCAGATTACTCCCCAGAAAAGGATGTGTCAGAAGTTGTGAATAATTGCTGTGCAGATGTGTAGAAAGCTTGCTTTTCCTAGGGTGTTAAGACATCATTCACAGAACCAAGGTTGTTCCTGACTTCAGAAAATCCTAGTCTGTCTCAGGGATTTTTGGGTAGATGACATCCTATACTCATATGCCAGGAACTCTAGTCCCCGTTAGTCTATTTTATCATTTCTAAAATATGTGTAGAGTACTAAAGTACTTATATGTATTATTTGAGAAATAACTAATGAACATGATTGTCCAACATGCTGAAAGCATAAAGGGCTATATAGAAACAAACAAACAAATTTCTTCTAAATTAAACCTTATTCTCTTTAGAATGCGAGAAACAATCAACTATATATATTTCACTTGGCACTTGGTTGACTGTAGCTTTCAACAAATATTAAACAGTAATTGTCATTGTTATACATGTATTTTTGTGTTCAGAAACATGTTTGAGAATAACTAAGCTCAAGAAATTAAAGAAAACATACAGAGTCCTATTTAATATCACTCGAATTATAAAATATAGCAAACTTTAGAAGTGAATAATAAGAGGTAGTGGCTGAAAATGAGCATAGATAGCACAAAACTTATTAATTACAATCATAGTGGATTATCAGGGCAGATTAGGATCAACTGGGAACATGTTTCTTATATTTTGAGGATGATGACCTAAAAATACCCAAACGTTCCATCTTGCCTGTGCCAGAGAGAAAGTGCACAGTTTTCTGGACCTTCTAAGTCCTTTGGCTGTTTCTTTGCCTGATCATTTTCTTCATTTAGAATAAATGACCTATATAATGTTTATTCCATGAGTATTCCATACTCTTGATGAAAAAAAAAAACTTCCCTTACTCCTTCTTGATATTTACTTTTTCATTTCCTGCCTCTCTCTAGAGCCCAGAGACCCAAGTTCAGGCTCCACTCTGCTATTGACTTGCTCCACTTGTCATTGTAACTCTCTAGGCTTTATTGTCATTATCTCTTTAATAAGATATTTAAAGAAAATGATCAGTATGGTCTCTTCCAGTTTTATATTTTGACATTATAAAAAGGTAAATCCCTCCATAACCCTTCAGTGGCTTTCTGCTGTGCTAACAATAAAATCAAACCTTTCTTCCATGGTCTATAAGACTTTATATAATCAGCCATGCCTGTATCTCCTACTTCCATTTCATGCCACAACACCACAAGCCAGCCGCATGAGTTTCCTATTCTTTTAAGAATCAGCTCAAATATTACCTTCTCAGAAAAGTTTCCTTGACTCCTTTATTTACTTAAGCCACCTTTTAAATTTCTCTCAAACTCTTTATCACAACCAGTTATTATCTTTGTTTGTTTCTTCTCATGCCAGATTAAGATGCTCCATAGTGATGGCACCTGGTTTATCTTATTTATCATTGTATTTTCAGTGCCAGCACACTACCTGGCACATAAAACATATTAAAAAATACTTGCTAAATGTTTGTTGTTGGAAAGAGACTGATATGTATAGAAATGATATATGAACTAAAAAGAAGGGACAAAGGGGCCCTGTGGTATGTTGTAGTGTTTACAATTGTCAGTAAAACCCTGTAGTCTATTCATAACAACCATATAGCCAAACAGTCCATCTAAATTGACATCCTAGGCAGCTCTGGTATAAACCATATGAGAAATTGCAACATTTGATGGCTTTTTCTCAGGAAGATAGTCCTGTTGAGAGGCTTGAGAGTGCCTTGGTGTATTTATAGGGCCTCATTGTTCTCTAACCAGGGATTTCTTCCTTTATCTCTTCTCAGATTAGACTCCAGAGATAATGATATTAGGAAATCCAAACTGAAATGGACCCCAGAGCAATTGAAGAAAGAAAGAGTCAAGGTGAGGCTTTATCAAATAATTTATTACTGAGCTTTCTGATTTTGTTGTTGTTGTTACAATAGTGCTAGTGTATAGGACTAGAAAAAAGTTTTTTAAAAAAACAGAATTTACCATTTAGTCAAGTGTCTATGTGATTTGGCCCAAACCCTAGGAGTAAAGAAGTTAATAACCTTTTCAAAAGTAATAAAACCAAACACACGCATGCACACACACACACACACACACACACACACATATAATCAAACCTATTATTATAGAATATCTTTAGATAAATAGATTTTCTCCAAAAAGTGTACCCACAACATTTACAGCATACAACTAAAATAAGTCCACAATACTTTGTCTATTGTAATGAGAACTAAATGGGCACCAAAGATGGCTGGATTGATCTCAGAGAAAAGGTATTTTTCTTTTTCCCTAGATATCCAACAGGAAGTGTTTCATTTTAATATTGACTTTGCACTACCCACATTTATATGGATAAATATGATGGATTGTTATGAAATTCTTATCATAGCTATTTTTCCTACTTTGAACAAAGTGACCTTTCTCATTCACATTCACCTGCTGTCTTCCATGTGTCACAGAGGAATCTACTGCCATGTGAAAAATGAGCCATTTATCCAAAGAAAATTGCAGCCTGCTAAGACCCATTCTTCTTTAACTTAACCCATATTACCATGGTATGATACCCCCGCAGGGAGGATCCCAACGTGGCAGGGAGGCTTGCAAGGGGAGGCCGAGGCACTGGTGCAAGCAAACTATAATGACTAAGGTGAGATTGTTTACTCAGGCAACATATGCAGATGCATCTTATTTATACTTCTTATTGTAAATAATAGTCATGTTAATCAAAGAACACCATAAAATTTGAATTGCTCTGTGTTATGCGTAAGATGGACATCATACTTACCACATGCTTATCCATAGTGTGGGGAACCATGGTATGATACCAGTTGGAAGACAAAGGTGCCATGGTTGGAAACAAAACCCTAAATTGCAAGGAGGAAACAATTGCCTGAAAAGAGACTCCAGATGAGCCCTATAACTAAAGCAGTTTTGAGTGTATAAGATATATACAAATATGAGCCTGTAGTCACAGCTACCTAGGAGGCTGAGGCTGGAGGATTGCATGAGCTCAGGAGTTAGAGCTGCAGTGAGCTATGATTGTGCCACTGCACTCTGGCCTGGGCAATAGAGGCCCCCTCATCTCTAAAAAACAAATAAATGAAAGAAAAATAAAGAAAGAAAGAAAGAGAGAAAGAGAGAGAGAGAAAGAAAGAAAGAAGAAATAGTTACACAATTCGTTATAGATTTTAAAGTTCTTTGATATTCATTCTCTCATTTGAAGTTCATTAGCTGGGGAGTTAACAGGGCAGTCATATGATTTTTTTTAGTGATGAAACAAATGTATTGCTTTTTTTTTTTTTTTTTTTTTTTTTTTTTACAGAGTCTCACTCTGTCACCCAGGCTGGAGTGTAATGGTGCAATCTTGGCTCACTGCAACTTCCTTCTCCTGGATTCAATCATTTCTCCTGCCTCAGCCTCCCAAGTAGCTGGGATTACAGGCACCTGCCATCACGCCCAGCTAATTTTTGTATTTTTAGTAGAGATGGGGTTTCACCATGGTGGCCAGTCTGGTCTCAAACTCCCAACCTCAAATGATCCACCACCTCGGCCTCCCAAAGTGCTGGGATTACAGGCATGAGCCACCGCGCCCGGCGAAATGTATTGCTCTTAAGAGACACTCAATTATTGGGTAGTGAAAGTAAGGCGACACTTCACTTTGGCATTTACTGATATGTTTACATTATAACATAATTAAAGAGCTCTCCACTGATTTATTTTCTATATGTCTGGGTAGAAGGATGACGACCATGAGCAAATACATTTTGACTCTGCTCTTTTGGTATTTTGACTGACTACACATAATATTAGAAATTTTGTGTTGGCTATATAAAATACGTTATTACAAGAATTCAAGGTAGCTTCATGAAGGTTATCTAATACATTTTGTTATTTTTCAAGTATCAATTTGACTCCTATCCACCTTAGTTTAAAAGTTTACATTTTATTTCATATTCGGCACATATCTAACTAAGTTTAAAGTGAATGCAAGCATGGTATAGGGCATAAGTTATTTAAAAGGAAGCCATTTGTCATTGCAGTGAAATTAGGTCATGGGATTTGTGGCAGCTGTCAGTTCAAGGAAGTGCTGCCCACTTATTTTACCTTTGAATCGTTTCATTTTTCTATGTTCACACCTCCATTATTCATGCTTATTCCCAGGTACTAGCTGCTATTTTGTTCCACAATAAGGGACATAGTTTTCAACTTTCTCTACTTCTAGAAGGTACACTTTCAGGCCGGGCACAGTGGCTCACTCCTGTAATCCCAGCACTTTGGGAGGCTGAGGCGGGCAAATCACTTGAGGTCAGGAGTTCGAGATCAGCCTGGCTAATATAATGAAACCCCATCTCTACTAAAAATACAAAAATTAGCCAGGTGTGGTGGTAGATGCCTGTAATCCCAGCTATTTGGGAGGCTGAGACTGAAGAATCACTTGAACCTGGGAGGCAGAGGTTGCAGTGAGCTGAGATAGCACCACTGCACGCGACAGCAGGAGATTCTGTCTCAAAACAAACAAACAGCAACAACAACAAAAAAACAAAATCAGAAGGCACACTTTCTTGTAAGTCAGTTTATGAACAAAAATGATCGATGTTTATTATTATAGTGAAATCAATACTCTGATTTCTTTCAAAAAGTTAATTAAGACCAATTCTTTGTACCCTGATAATTAAAAACTCACTTTTTAAAATTCAACAGAAACATTAACACATTCCTTTGATCATCTTTAAGCAGCTTTCAGCCATAATATTTTAAATTGTATGAACATCTCATAGGGTAATAAGACACTTAAATTTGTTAGTATTTCTTATATTTTAATGAAATATTAACAATGACAGCCCCCCACATTTCTTTTAACATTCATTAGGTCACTTAGGCCATATAGTGTGTGAAGAAATAATTATCAAAACACTGTCTGTTACTCAACATGAAAAACATTCTGATTCAAATTTAATCAAACAATTATTGAGGACAATGCTAAGGGAATGAGATGTATCTCTTTATTTGTGAAGACTCTAAAAATAGCCTCTTTGCTGTGGCTAGGAATGCTTTATCCAAGGATGGTCCAAGAAACTCAAGAGAAGACTCAAGAAAACCTGTGCTTTTAGTAGCTTAATGAAAGGGCAGAGCCTTTACTTGAAGAACTATAATTATAAAGACCTACAATTATCCTGCTAAATCAGGATGGGGAATTCTCAGCACCTCACAGTAATTATCTAGAGGTCTGAAAGACCAAGAACACCTGGAGACTCCAAGAAGGTACATGACCTGAGGCAGGGTGAGCTTCATGAGGGTGTGAGCTATGCAGTTGCACAGGGCCAAAGACTCAGAAGAGCCCCATACATGGTTTAATGTTCTGCTTTTGCTTTTTTTGAATGCTTACTAATTTTTCAACAAAGGGCTCCACATTTTCATTTTGTTCTGGGCCCTGCAAATACGTAGTCAGTCCTGACTCAAGGCCATGTGAGAGAGTAGTACTTGGATGAGGTACTTGGATAGTGAGAAAGACTCATGCTAGCAGTTTTGCCAGCTGGGTACACTGAACAAACCAGAGTAAAGAGCAGTACAAACTGGGCATTTTTAGGAGGGTAATACTGATTTGGAGAATAGTGAATATTTTGGGGGGACTCGTGAAGAGAAAAGGGGCAAGAATGAAGAAGGATGTTCCCTTTTGGTAACTTGTGTCCTACATTATTTTAAATATATTTTCCAACTGGCTTTCAATATCACCATTTTCCAAACATTTGTAATTGCCCACTCCTATCAAGTGTAAACATGCATTCCTCCAATACAAGTTTCCTGTTTATTAACTTAAAACTTACATACTGTATTACTATAAAATGGTTATTTATCAACGTTATCCAATAGAAATATAGTGTGATCCACAAATGAGAAGCACGTATGTAATTTAAAATACATATGTAGTAGCTAAATTTTAAAAAAGAAGCAAGTGGAATTAACTTTAATAATGCTCTTTAATTAAGCCAATATATAAAAATATTATTTCAACAGGACATAAATGTAAAAATCATAATGAAATATTTTACTTTAAAAATTTTAAGTCTTTAAAATTTCTTGTACATTTTAAACTGGTGTCTTATTTCAGACTTGCCATGTTTCAAGTATTCAATAGCTATGTGTGGCTAATGGCTACTACATTCAATACTGCAGTTTTATATATTTTAAAATATATAAAATATAAGTTAGAGATCTATGAGAACAAAATAAAAGTTCTAAATTTTAATGTTTTCTTCCCATATCCTAGTGGATGGCCTTTCAGATCCCCTGGGTGTGGAAATCTCACATTGAAAACTAGTGGTCTAGAATAATGAGGATTTTTCAAGTTTTTAGGTATGACAATTCTAAAAGATGAAGTGATATTTTTATACCGTGATTAGCACTGACTTAAGTATAACACACACACACGCGTGCACACACACACAACATGCGCACACACACACACACACACACACGCACACACACACATTTCCTTCAAGAGAGGAGAACCTCAGCCCTACTCCTCGATAGAACGCTTATCAACTTTCACATTGAAGAAGAGTATGTGGGTTGGGATATATTCTGGCAGCTATCTTTGGAAACTACAGTCTGCCACAATTACTTACCACTGTGTAAAGCTGAAGCTCTAAGAAACTACACTATACTGACCCCTCAAGCATAGAGCTCCATTACTTCTATGCAGATCACATTTCTGTTTGGGAAGCTCAGAAACAGATGTGAGAAAACTCGAATATTAGTTAGGATCCATCAGTTCATGGAAGACTTTTTGTGCCATGCCATGAAACTTGAACTTTATCTCATTTGGTGATTATTTTCAGCCAGGGAATAGCATAATCAGAGTTGTGTTTTCAAATAGGTTCCTTTGACTGCAGCAGGAGGATGGATTTAAGAGGCCAACACAGGGCCTAGGGCAAGTAGAAAACAAACTAGTGTATTAAAACAATGATCTCAGCTTGCTCACCAAATCTCATCAGATACACATGCTTGCTTATTAAGATGTTCCACTTGGAGCACTTGTCAAGTGAAGTTCCAAAAATAGTAAGTTAGAAAGAAGCAACTGAAAAAGCCTCTAGTGGCCAGGCGCAGTGGCTCATGTCTGTAATCCCAGCACTTTGGGAGGCCCAGGCGGCGGATCGCTTGAGGAGTTTGCGACCAGCCTGGGCAACATGGTGAAATCCCATCTCTACAAAAAAAAAAATCCCCAAATTAGCCAGGTGGTGGTGGGTGCTTGTGGTCCCAGCTACTCGGGAGGGTGAGGTGGGAGGCTCGCTTGAGCCCGGGAGGCGGCGGCTGCAGTGATCTGAGATCACACCACTGCACTCCAGCGTGGGTAACAGAGCAAGACCCTGTCTCAAAAGAAACAAAACAAAACAAAAACAAAAAAAAATCCTGTCATGAAATGTTAAATGTTTGAATCTTAACGACTTCATTTGAGCCTACACTGATGGTGTGCACTCCTTTTTCCTTCTTCACATTGCCCTTCTGCTTTCCCACAAATTCAAACAAAGGTAATTTATTTCAAATGAAAGAGATTCCAGGTGAAGACACCTTCAGCTATGTCTATGGTGACCATGAGTCCTAAAGAAATCTAAGGCCTAGAGAGTAGGGGTGGAGATGGTTGATGTCAGGGCTATGCTGGGACAATTGAGGGACGTTCCACAAATGTCTCTCAAAACAATTGATCTATACTTTTCAAAATGTCAATACCATAGAAAACAAAAGAATTTAGATTGAAGGATATTTAAAAATATGATAACTAAATGCAATTCTGAATTGGATCCTGGATTGAAAAAAATTACTATAATGAACATTATTGGGACCACTGTAGAAACTTGAATGTGGACTATGTATTGAATAATAGTATTGTATCAATATAAATTTCTTAAATTTAATAATTTTAAGATAATTAGATAAAAGAATGCTCTTATTCTTAACAGATGCATGCCGAAGTATTTCAGGGTGAAGGATCATCATATCTGTGACTTAAGCTTACTCTTACATGATTCAGCAAAAATCATTGAAATATACTTACATATGTATTTCTCTATTATATAGAAAACGATAAAGCAAATGTGACAAACTGTTAGCAGCTAGATATCTTAGTAAAGAAGTACAGGTATTAATTTAATTATTTTTATAATTTCTCTGAAGATTTGAATTTTTCAAAAAGATCTATTTTAGAGATTGATAAATAGTTACAAATATAATAATATGATGTCTGAGATCTGCTTCAGAATAATGGAAGGTGGGGAGTGAGAGTGGGTGGAAGTACAGATGAAATAATTATCAAGAGTTAAAGATTGTTGAAGCTAGGTGATGGGTACATGGGAATTCATTTTACTATTCTTTCTACTTTGGTATGTGTGTGAAAATTTCAATTCTAAAAGATTTAAAAAGAAGACAGTAATGAGAGGCCCCAAACAAGGAAAAGTATGGTACCCTATTCCCAAAAATAAGCAAAAAGAAACAATGCTAATGTTAAAGGAGGAAATTCCATTAAATTGTAACACTGTCTGCCAATTCTACTTTAATGTGTTGGGGGGAGCAGATATTAAATATCACATTCTTTCATAAACAGTTTTTGGATGATGCTGGTGTATTGGTGCCTTAGCATATATTTAATTTGCCTATTAGGTAATGCAGCATTGATTGAAGTATGGAGAAAAATTAAAAAGAAAATTAGGGAATTGTATAAATAGATTTATTCTGGTTGAAAAAGTTACATGAAAAAATGAGAAACTTCCTGGAGGGTCTCTATTTTTTCTTTTTTTAAATTATTTTTTATTTTTTATTTTTATTTATTTTATTATTTTTTATTATTATACTTTAAGTTTTAGGGTACATGTCTAACCCTAGCTTGTACAGATATTGATCTGTATAAAGCTGTGAAATAAGTTGTTAAAAGTCTAAATACTTCTATGTTTTATAAAAGCTTTAGAGACTAACAGTTTTCTAGCACAGCTGTTTTCCTTTCAGGACCCCTGCTAACCAGCACAGAAAAGTTTGTCTGCCAAATATTTGTCAGAAATAATTCATATAAAAATCCCAAATTCTTGATGAGATGCAAGCTCTCATTTCACACCTGTAGTGCTTTTTCAAAATTTCCTAGGTGACACTTCCCCAAACACAGATCTACCGAAAAATAAAAAATAATTCTCCCAGAATTATGAATTCTATTATGAGTTCAGTTATGAGGCCCCTTGAACAGCACACAAAAACACAGGATACTTTGTGTTATATTATGGATTATGAAGGGATTAACACTGGTAGAGGGCTTTAATAGGGGTGAAATGTTGTGAAACACACCGCAGTGAACACATAAGTCTCTTGTTCATTCCGTTGTCTAAGAGATTTACACTCACCTTCAAAAGTGAAGTATCTACATGCTATTATACATTTTCAGTTAACATCAGAGAATTTCATATCATATTAACAAACCCTGAACACTGCAGAGCCTGTTAGTATTAGAATAAAATAATTTTAATCCATGCTACACAGGCCTTACCTGTAATACAAAAAAAAGTCCACCAATTTCAAGGGTGATGTGGAAAAGTTCATTATCAGCAATAAGTAGGGTAGTTATAGTACAAATATATACACAGTATATAAAACCTGCTTGGCTAGTCTTACAGATATTATTTTACATATTTTTATTCAATAATTAAAATATGTAAGTAGTTAATATCGTTAGGAATCTCCTCAGAAATACAGAATATAGGTTTTGAATCCTAACAGACACACATATTCATAACCATCAGAGAGTATGATAAATTCTGACCATAAATATGGTATTATGTATTGTGAAGCTTCTTTCATCATTCAAGTATAAAAATAAAAGAAATTTCTTAAATTTTCCTATTGTTAATATAAATATGGAGGTATCCTGAGAAACCCCCAGATGGCAGGGCGTGTGGCCCCACCCACCCTCGCCACTGGTAGCCAGACAGACAATGCCTGTTGCAGCTTCTGGCCCAGTGGTCTTGCTTGTGTGTGGACTCAGCTAGTGGATGCAGCCTCCTCTTGCCCTGGAATCGCTCGGACAGCAGGTTGAGCAACTCCACCCAACCCTGCCTCTCATAGCCAGTCACACCTGCTAGAGCTTTGAGCCTAGAGGTCCCATTTCTGCCTGATCTGTGTGGGGAGATGCAACCCTGTGTTTCCCTGGGAAGCACTCAGATGGAAGATTAGGACTGACCCAGCAAGGAAACGGCCTGTCTGCCAACTGCAGTCCCTGCCTGAGGGAGCACCATGGAACAGAACACCTAACAAAAGAGATGCAGGCATAGAGAAAGTAAACAGAGGGGGCTCATCCAAGATCCAGGAGTGGACTAGAATCAAAGCCAGTCTACTAAACTCACCTTATGCCATAATCAAACCCGCAAAAGCATCAAAGAGGGAAAAAGCAAAAAATCACATCCAAGGGACAGCAATTTCAAATTGAAGGAACATTAGCCTACACAGGTAAGAGTGAATCAGTGCAAGATCTCTGGCAACTCAAAAAGCTAGTGTCTTCTTACCTCTGAATAACCATAATAGCTCCCAAGCAATGGTTCTTAACTAGGCTGAAATGGCTGAAATGCCAGAAATAGAATTCAGAATATGGATAGGAACGAAGGTCATTGACACCCAGAAGAAAGTTGAAACCCAATCCAAGGAATCTAAGGAATATGATAAAACAATACAGGAGATGAAAGATGAAATGGTAGTTTTAAGAAAGAACCAAACTAAACTGATAGAGCTCAAAAACTCACTTCAAGAATTTCATAAAACAATAACAAGCATTAACAGAAGAATTGACCAAGCTGAGGGAAGAATCTTGGAGCTCAAAGACTGGTTCCCTGAAAAAAATAAAGAAAAAACAATAAATAAGCATAAACAAAACCTCTGAGAAATATAAGCTTATGTAAAGAGACCAAACCTACAACTTGTTGGCATCCCTGAAAGAGAAGGAGAGAGAGCAAACAACTTGGAAAACATATATGAGGATATTGTCCAGGAAAATTTTCCCAACCTTGCTAGTGAGGTTAACATTCAAATTCAAGAAATTCAGAGAACCCCTCTGAGATACTTTACAAGACAACCATCCTCAAGACACATAGCCATCAGATTATGCAAAGCCAATGTGAAAGAAAAAATATTAAAGGAAGCTAGAGAGAAGGGGCAGGTCACATACAAAGGAAACCCACCAGGCTAACAGTAGACCTTTCAGCAGAAACCCTACAAACCAGAAGAAATTGAGGGCCTATATTTAGTATTCTTAGAGGAAAGAAATTACAAACAAGAATTTCATATCCAGCCAAACTAAGCTTCATAGGCTAAGGTGAAATAAGTTCCATTTTAGACAAGCAAATGCAAGGGAATTCACTACCACCACAGTTGCGTTATAAGAGGCCCTTAAAATGGCACTAAACATGGAAACAAAAGACCATTACCAGTCACCACAAAAACACACTTAAGTACATAGATTATTGACATCATTAAGTAACTATACAATCAAGCCTGTATAATAACCAGCTAACAACATGATGACAGGATCAAACCTGCACATATCAATATTAACTTTGAATACAAGTGGCCTAAATGCCCCCAATTAAAAGGCACAAAGCAGCAAATTGGCTAAAAAAGCAAGATCCAACTGTATGCTGTCTATGAGAGACCTTTCTCACATGGAATTATGCCAAGAGACTCAAAGTAAAGGGATCGAGAAAAATCTACCAAGCAAGCAGAAAATAGAAAAAAGCAAGGGTTGCTATTCTAATACCAGACAAAATGGACTTTAAACCACAATCATCAAAAAACACCAAAGAGGGGCATTACATAATGATAAAGGGTTCAATTCAACAAGAAGAACTAACTATCTGAAATATATATGCACCCAACACAGAAGCACCTAAATTCATAAAATAAGGTCTTAGAGACCTACAAAGATATTTAGATAACCACACAATAATAGTGGAAGACTTCAACACTCTACTAATAGTATGAGACAGATAATTGAGGCAGAAAACTAACAAAGATATTGGGGAACTAAATTTGATATTTGACCAAAGGGGTATAACAGACATCTACAGAACTCTCCACCCAAAAACAACACAATATGCATTCTTCTCATCTGCACATGGCACATACTCTAAAATTAACCACACAATGAACCATAAAACAATCCTCAGCAAATTTTAAACAACCAAAGTCATATCAAACATACTCTTTGACCACAGCACAATTAAAATAAATACTAAGAAAATTGCTTAAAACCATACAATCACATGGAATTAAACAACATACTTCAGAATTACTTTTGGGTAAACAATGAAATTAAGACAGAAATTAAGAAATTTTTTGAAGCGAATGAGAACAAAGATACAACATATCAAGATCTCTGGGACACAGCTAAAGCAATGTTAAGATGGAAGTTTATAGTGCTAAATGCCCACATGAAAAAAGTTAAAAAGTTCTCAAATTAACAACTAACATCACCTAAAGGAACTAAAAAAACAAAAGCCAATCAACCCCAAAGCTAGCCGAAGACAAGAAATAACAGAGATCAGAGCTAAACTGAAATAAAACTGAGGTGCACAAAATCATACAAATACTAAACAAAACTAAAAGTTGGTTATTTGGAAGAATAAATAAGATTAACAGAGCACTAGCTAGACTAATGAAGATAAAGAAAGAAAATCTAAATAAACATAATCAGAGATGACAAAGGGGACATTACCCCCAACCCCACAAAAATACAAAAGATCCTCAGAGACTACTATGAATGTCTCTGTGCACACAAACTGGAAAACCCAGAAGAAATGGATAAACTCCTGGAAACATATAACCTCCACAGATTGAACTAGGGACAAGTTGAATCCCTAAACAGAGTAATAATGAGTTCTGAGATGGAATCAGTAATAAAAAGACTACCAACCAGAAAAAACCCAGAACCAGATGGATTCACAGCATAATTCTACCAGGCATATAAAGAAGAGCTGGTACCATTCCTACTGAAAATATTCCAAAAAGTTAAGGAGGCGGGACTCCTCCCTACATCATTCTATGAGGCCAGGAACATCCTGATACCTAAATCTTGCAGAGACACAACAAAAAAAGAAAACTTCAGGCCAGTATCCTTTATGAATGTAGACACAAAAAATCGCAACAAACTACTAGCAAACTGAGGCCAGAAGCAAATAATAAAACTAATCCTCCACAATCAAGTGGGCTCAAAAGAACACATACAAGTGGCCAGCATACATGAAAGAGTTCTCAACACCACTAATCACTAGATAAATGGAATTCAAAACCGCAATTCCTGGGATACAAGCTTGGTTCCACATATGCAAATCAATAAATGTGATTCATCACATAAAGAGAACTAAAAACAAAAACCACATGATCCTCTCAATAGATGCAGAAAAGGCTTCTGATAAATATCCCTTCATGTTAAAAAAAACCCTCAACAAACTAGGCATTGAAAAAACATACTTCAAATGATAAGCATCATTAATGAAAAACCCACAACCAACACCATACTGAATGGACAAAAGTTGGAAGCATTCCCTGTGAAAACCAGAACAAGACGAAGATGACCTCTGTCACCTTCCTATTTGACACAGTTCTGGAAATCTCAGAGAATAATCAGACCAGAGAAAAATAAAAGGCATCCAAATAGAAAGAGAGGAAGTCACACGATCCCTGCTTGCAGATAATATGATTCTATATGTAGAAAACCCCATAGTCTCTGCCCAAAAACTCTTTGATCTGATGAACAACTTCAGCAAAGTTTCAGGATACAAAATCAATTTACAAAAATTAGTAGCATTCTTACACACCAACAGCATTCAGTCTGAGAGCCAAATCAGGAACACAAACCCATACACAATAGCCACAAAAAGAATCAAATACTTAGGAATGCAGCTAACAAGGTAGGTGAAAGTTACCTAAAATGAGAATTACAAAACACTGCTCAAATAAATCAGACATGACACAAACAAATAGAAAGACATTCCATGCTCATGGATAGGAAGAATCATTATTGTAAAAGTGGCTGTACTTCCCAAAGCAATTTACAGATTCAATGCTATTCCCATCAAACTCCCAATGACATTCTTCACAGAAGTAGAAAAAACTGTTTTAAAATTCATATGGAACCAAAGAAGATGGCAGATAGCCAAGGCAATACTAAGCAAAAAGAACAAAGCTGGAGGCATCATATTACCTGACTTCAAACTATACTATGAGGCTATAGTAACCAAACAGCCTTATACTGGTATAAAAACAGACACGTAGACGAATAGAACAGGATAGAGAGCCTAGAAATAATGCCACTTGCCTACAACCATCTGATCTTTGACAAAGCTGACAAAAACAAGCAATGGGAAAAGGACTCCTTATTCAATAAATGGTGATGAGATAACTTACTAGCCATATACAGAAGACTGAAACTGGAACCCTTTTTTCATCACATACAAAAATAAATTCGAAGTGGGTTAAAGACTTAAATATAAATTTAAAACTATTAAAGCCCTAAAAGATAACCTAGGAAATACCATTCTGGACATAGACCCTGGAAAATATTTCATGATAAAGGCACCAAAAACAAATGCAGGAAAAACAAAAATTGACAAATAGGACCTTATTAAACTCAAGGGCTTCTGCACAGCAAAAGAAGCTATCAATGGAGTAAATAGACAACCTACAGAACGGGAGAATATATTTGCAAACGATGCATCCGACAAAGGTCTAATATCCAGAATCTATAAGGAACTTAAATGAATCAACAAGCAAAAACCAACCCAATTAAAAAGTGGACCAAAGACATGAACAGACATTTCTCAAAAGAACACATACAAGTGGCCAACACACATGAAAAAGTTTTCAACACCACTAATCACTAGATGAAAGGAAGTAAAAACCATAACGAGACACCATCTCATACCCATCAGAATGGCTATTAGTAAAATGTCAGAAAATAACAGATGCTGGTGAAGTTGCAGAGAAAAAGGAATGTTTATACACTGCTGGTGGGAATGTAAATTAGTTCAGCCTTTGTGGAAAGCAGTTTGGATATTTTTCAAATATTTTAAAACAGAACTAACATGTGACCCAGCAGTCCTATTCCTGGGTATATACCCAAAGAAATATAAATCTTTCCACCATAAAGACATATGCACATGTATGTTCACCACAGCACTATTCATAATAGCAAAGACATGGGCTCAACAGTGGTATACTGAATAAAGATAATGTGGCAATACACACCATGGGATACTATGCAGCCATAAAAATAATGATATCATGCCCTTTGCAGTAACATGGGTGGAGCTGGAGGCCATTATTCTAAGTGAACTAACACAGGAACAGAAGACCAAATACCAAATATTCTCACTTATAAGTGGGAGTTAAACACTGAGTACACATGGACGCAAAGAATAGAACAATAGACACCAGAGCTTTCTTGACGGTGGAGGATGAGAGAAGGATGAGGATCAAAAAAGTCCTTATTGGGTACTATGCTTACCACCTGGGTGAGGAAATAATCTGCACACCAAACCCCCATGACACACTGTTTACCTATATAACAAACCTACATTTACCCATGAACCTTAAATAAAAATTAAAATATATATGACAGTAATTGCCAAAATATAGAGAAAATATATAAACTATTTTATGTTTAAGAAAGGGAAAATTTCCTAATCATATTAATGTATAAACTTACCATTTTAGATGGAATTAAATTAATAGATTAGAAGGCATGATATTATTACTCTGATAAAGTTATGATAAGCATCCATTCAATGTATACTAAAGTAAGTTAAGATGAATATGTAGCATTTTATTAAAGTAGATAATAATGTGGCATATATATGTCAAAAGAAAGCAATTGTTAATAACTGGAAAAAATCAATTTCAATATTTTATTAGTGGTGATTAAACTGCTTTCAAATTCTATTTTTCTGAATCACTCTAGCAAATTCTTATTTTTGATATAGCAGTTTCTGTATCCCCTCTTTTCTTTTGATTCCACGTATTTATTACAGCTGAATCAATTTATAGCTAAAATATAATGAAATATTTATTGGCAGGGTCAAAGTATCCCAAACAACCTCAACTGAATGATTGGCTATTCTCAGCTATAACTTTAGTCAATTGGGCTTATTTCCCAGTACTAAGCATAGTAGATTCTTTATAATAAAATAGGAAAAAAATCCCTTGTAAATTGAAGGTCTTTTTCCTACTCTATTTCCCATTGTGCATTATCATGTATAATAATATCCTAGGACTTTGGGATATATTTCAAAATACATGAATAAAATTACACTTACAGTTTAAATTTTGGTTTGTTGGTTTTGGTCAATCAAAGCAGCATTTGTATTTAGACACAAATACAAATTTAGAGCTATGTGGGATTTTAGAATTTATGAAAAGTACAAACTCTCGTTTTGCAGCTGAAGAAAGTGAAGCCTCGAGAAGGCCTTGAAGATATAAATCTGAAGTGCTATCTAAATGGTTCCTGGCAGGGTCCCCAGTGGCCCCAGTCCCAGTTATCCACAGAAGTATCTAGCTCAATAAGTCACTTCCCGATTGGCTGTTCATCCTTCCTTATTTCAGCCTTTCCAGATCCCCAAAATAAATTATCTGCATGCAAGCCCTGCGTCAGACTTTTGTTTTTTGTGGAACCCAACTTAAGACGTATATATTTCAAAATATTGCTAATATAAGGTTTCATCTGTGGTAATAAGCAAAATGAATTTGAAAAGGAAAAAATACCTCATAAATTTTTTGTCTTTTTCACCACATCGTGAAAGTAATTTTTTTTTTTTTTTTTTTTTTGAGACAGAGTTTCACTCTTGTTGCCCAGGCTGGAGTCCAGTGGCACGATCTCGGCTCACCGCAACCTCCGCCTCCCAGGTTCAAGTGATTCTCCTGCCTCAGCCTCCCTAGTAGCTGGGATTACAGGCATGTGCCACCATGCCCGCCTAATTTCGTATTTTTAGTAGAGACGGGGTTTCTCCATGTTGGTCAGGCTGGTCTTGAACTCCCGACCTCAGGTGATCCACCCGCCTCAGCCTCCCAAAGTGCTGGGATTACAGGCATGAGCCACTGCGCCCAGCCTCATGAAAGTAATTTTGGCTTGCATTTTAGAAAAAACAATTCTTCAAGTTTTAGAATTTATATTTGTAATATGAATTATGTTACCTGATGTATGAATCTAAGAAATTTGTCTTAATTTAATTCAATCTTATTTCCAATGAAAAGAAACAATGAAGAAAATATAACAAATAGAATTTATTCTCCATTCTGCCCTTGCAGTTCCTTAATCTGGGAAATCTTCTCTGAGGCTGTGTGCATGTAACACCAAAATATCCCATCAATTTTTGTTAAATTGTCATGCCACTGTTTTAGAGCTGTGTTGATTAACCAGCCATGATGGTTAAAACTTTTCTGGCTATAAGTGCAGAAGATACAACAAAAACTGATTAAAACAATTAGGATGTTTATTCTCTCACATAACCAGAAGTATGGAGGTGACATTTTTCCAAGCCTTGGAGATTTAATGTTTGTGGCATGGTTTTCCTTAGACTCTCTCAGTCTTCCCTTCATGGAGGCAGGATAGTTGTTGCAGTTCTGAATTACCTGACTTCATTTGCATAAGTATGTATGTAGCATATAGCATTTGCAGATGTATATAATGCATATATAGGTGCAATTTACAATATTTCATAGACAGCTTTCCATATCAATGTATATATGTATACCTCATTCTTTTTAGTGGTGGTACAATATTCCATTATATAGATGTTCCTTAATTTATTTACCCTTTCCCCTTAAGGGATGTTTAGATTCTTTATAACTTATCATAATTAAAACAATGCTGCAATGTGTATTATACACTTATTTGTGCACTTGAACTGGCAATGAATAGAATAAATTTTTTAAAGTGGAATTTCTGGGTTACGAGTTATACATACTTTACAATGTAATAGAGAATTCTGAGTTACTACTGAAACACTTGTACCAATTCAAACTCCCTAACAACAGTATCTGAGAGTGTCTGGTTCTTCATACACTTGTCATAACTGATTATTATTAACATTTTAATTTTGGCAAATCTAGTAAGTGAAACTTTTTTCTTTCTTCAACTTTTATTTTAAGTTAATGGGTATTTGTGCAGGATGTGCAGTTTTGTTACATAGGTAAACGTGTGCCATGGTGCTTTGCTGTACAGATCAACCCATCTCCTAGGTATTAAGCCCAGCACCCATTAGCTATTTGTCCTGATGCTCTCTCTCCCCCTAGCCCCCTGACAGGCCCCAGTGTGTGTTGTTTTTCCCATATGACCATGTGTTCTCATCGTTCAGCTCCCACTTATAAGTGAGAACATGTGGTGTTTGGTTTTCTGTTCCTGTGTTAATTTGCAGAGGATAATGGCTTCCAACTCCATCCACGTCCTGCCAAGGACATTATCTCATTCCTTTTCATGACTGCATAGTATTCCATGGTGTATATGTACCACACTTCCTTTATCCAGTCTGTCATTGATGGGCATTTGGGTTGATTCCATGTCTTTGCTATTGTGAATAGTGCTGCAATGAACATATGTGTACATGAATCTTTATAGTAGATGATTTTATATTCCTTTGGGTATATACCCAGTAATGGGATTGCTGGGTCAAATGGTATTTCTGCTTCTAGAGCTTTGAGGAATCACCACAGTGTCTTCCACAATGGTTGAACTAATTCACATCCCGACTAACAGTGTAAAAGTGTTCCTTTTTCTCTGCAACCTTGCTAGCATCTGTTGTTTGTGGACTTTTTAATAATCGCCCTTCTGACTGGAGTGAGGCGGCATCTCATTGTGGTTTTGATTTGCATTTCTCTAATGATCAGTGATGTTGAGCTTTTTTTCAAATGTATGTTGGCTGCATGAATGTCTTCTTTTGAGAAGTGTCTGTTCATGTCCTTTGCCCATTTTTGAATGTTGTTGTTTGTTTTTTTCTTATAAATTCGTTTAAGTCCCTCATAGAATCTGGATATTAGACCTTTGTCAGATGAATAATTGCAAAAATTTTCTCCCATTCTGTAGGTTGTCTGTCCACCCTGATGATAGTTTATTTTGCTGTACAGAAGCTCTTTAGTTTAATTAGATCTCATTTGTCAATTTTTGCTTTTGTTGCAATAGCTTTTGGTGTTTTTATCATGAAAACCTTGTCTGTGACTGTATCCAGAATGGTATTGCCTAGATTTTCTTCCAGGATTTTATAGTTTTGGGTTTTACATTTAAGTCTTTAAGGCATCTTGAATTAATTTTTGTATATAGTGTAAGGGATGTGTCCACTTTAAATTTTCTGCATATGGCTAGCCAGTTCTCCAGCACCATTTATTAATAGGGAATACTTGCCCTATTGCTTGGTGTGCCATCTTATTCTGAGTTCCCTATTCTGTTCCATTGGTCTATGTGTCTGTTCTTGTACCAGTACCATGCTGTTTTGGTTACTGTAACCTTGCAGTATAGTTTGAAGTCAGGTAGCGTGATGCCTCCAGCTTTGTTCTTTTTGCTTAGGATTGTTTTGGCTATTCGGGCTCCTTTTTGGTTCCATATGAATTTTAAAATAGTTTTTTTCTAATTATGTGAAGAATGTCAATGGTAGTTTAATGGGAATTACATTGGATCTACAAATTACTTTGGGCAATATGGCTATTTTCACGATATTGATTCTTACTATCCATGAGCATGGAACGTTCTTCCATTTGTTTATGTCCTCTCTGATTTCCTCGAACAGTGATTTGTAGCTGTATTCCTAGGTATTTTATTCTTTCTGTAGCAATTTTGAATGGGAGTTCATTCATGATTTGGCTCTCTGCTTGCCTGTTGTTGGTGTATAGGAATGCTAGCGATTTTCGCACATTGATTTTGTATCCTGAGACTTTGCTGAAGTTGCTCATCAGACTAAGAAGCTTTTGGGCTGAAACAATGAGGTTTTCTAGATATCGGATCATGTCATCTGCAAACAAAGATAATTTGTCTTCCTCTTTTCCTCTTTGCATACCCTTTATTTCTTTCCATTGCCTGATTTCCCTGGCCAGAATTTCCAATACTGTGCTGAATATGAGTGGTGAGAGAGGGCATCCTTGTCTTGTGCCTGTTTTCAAGGGGAATGCTTCTAGCTTTTGCCCATTCAATATGATATTAGCTGTGGGTTTATATATATGGCTCTTATTATTTTGAGGTATGTTCCTTCAATACCTAGTTTATTGAGAGATTTTAACATGAAGAGATGTTAAATTTTATCGAAGGGCTTTTCTGTGTCTACTGACATATGTGGTTTTTGTCTTTAATTCTGTTCATGTGATGAATTACATTTATTGTTTTGCATATGTTGAACCACCCTTCCATCCTGGGTATGAACCCAACTTGATCATGGTGGTTAAGCTTTTTGATGTGCTGTTGGATTTTGTTTGCCATTTTATTGAGGATTTTTGCATTCATGTTCATCAGGGATATTGGCCTGAAGTTTTCTTTTTTTGTTGTATCTCTGCACATGGCACATTTCTAAGGCTAACTGCACACTTGGTCACAAAACAATTCTCAACAAATTTAAAACAATTGAAATCATACCAAACCCACTCACGGGCCACAGTGCAATAAAAATATAAATCAATACAAAGAAGATCTCAAAACCTTAAATTACATGGAAATTCTACAAACTGCTTCTGAATTACTTTTTAGTAAACAATGAAATTAAGGCATAAATCAAGAAATTCTCTGAAACTAGTGAAAACAAATGTAGATCCTGCCAGAATCTCTGGGACACAGCTATAATAGCGTTAAGATGAAGTTTAATCATGAATTGCCACATAAAAAATTTAGAAAGATCTCATAATAAAAACCTAACATCACACTGACAGAAGAAAGCACAAACCAACCCCAAAGCTAGCAGAAGACAAGAAATAACCAAAATTACAGCTGAATTGAAAGAATTTGAAATGTGAAAAATCATACAAAAGATCAACAAAATAAAAAGTTTCTTTATTGAAAGAATATATAAGATTGATACACTGCTAGCTAGACTGTTGAAAGAAAAAGAAAGAAAGAAAAGAAAGAAAGAAAGAAAGAAAGACTCAAACAAACACAATCAGAAATAACAAAAGGGACACTACTATTGTCCCCACAGAGATACAGATGGTATCTCAGAGACTATTGTGAACTTCTGTGTACACAAACTAGAAAACCTAGAACAATACGGAAAAATTCTTGGAAACATACAACATCCCAAGATTGAACCATGAAGAAATTGAACCCCTGAACATACCAATAATGAGTTCTGAAATTGAATTGGTGACAAAAAGCCAGAAAAAACCCCAGAACCAGATAGATTCAAAGCATAATTCTACCAGGCAGGTGAAAAAGAGCTAGTACATTTCCTACTGAAAATATTCCAAAAAAATGAGAAAAGGGAAATCCTCACTAACTCATTCTATGAGGCTAGCATGATTCTGATCCCAAAACCTGACAGACACACACACACACACATACACACACACATACACACACACACAGACACACGCTCACAAAACTTCAGACCAATATCCATGAAGAACATAGATGCAAAAATTCTCAACAAACTACTAGCAAACTGAGGCCAGCAGCACATCAAAAAGATAATCCACCACAATCAAGTAGGCTTTGTCCCTGGAATGCAAGATTGTTTCGACATATGCAAATAAATAAATGTGATTCATCACATAAACAGAACTAAAAACAGAAAACACATGATTATCTCAATAGATGCAGAAAAGGCGTTTGATAAAATTCAGCATTCCTTCATGTTAAAAAAAAAAACCCTCAACAAACTAGGCATTGATGACACATACATCAAATCAATAAGAGCCATATGTCACAAACCCACATATTGGATGGGCAGTTTCTTATTCCAGTTCTCAATGGGAGCATGACTTGAGCCCAGGAATTTGAGACCAGCCTGGGAAGCAACAACAACAACAAAATGTCAGGCAGAAATAGAAATATTGTAACGTGTATATAAAACAAAGAACTTCTCTTAAACAAATAAGAAAACAGGTATGATGGCCATTAAAAAATTGAGCAGAAGACATGAACAGATAATTTGCCAGAGAAAAAAATTGAAAATGGTTAACAAAACCACACTAGTAATAAAATCAAACTATAAGCATGGGCAAAGATTTCATGACAATAACTCCAAAAGCAATTGCAACAAAAGCAAAAGTTGTCAAATGGGATCTAATTAAACTAAAGAGCTTCTGTACAGCAAAAGAAATTATCATCAGAGTGAACAGACAACCTACAGAATGGGAGAAAAGTTTTGCAATCTATCCATCTGACAAAGGTCTAATATCCAGAGTCTATGAGGAACTTAAACAAATTTATAAGAAAAAAAACAAACAGCCCCATTCAAAAGTGGTCAAAGGACATGAACAGACACTTCTCAAAAGAAGACATTCATGCAACCAACAAACATATGAAAAAAGCTCAACATCACTGATCGTTAGAGAAATGCAAATCAAAACCACAATGAGATGCCGCCTCACTCCAGTCAGAATGGCGATTACTAAATAGTCAACAAACAACAGATAGTGGCGAGGTTGCGGAGAAAAGGGAACACTTTTACACTGTTGGTGGGAGTGTAAATTAGTTCAACCACTGTGGAAGACAGTATGGTGATTCATCAGAGATCTAGAGGCAGAAATTTGACCCAGTAATCCCATTACTGAGTACCTACCCAAAGGAATATATATCATTCTACTATAGAGATACATGCATGCATATGTTCATTGCAGCACTGTTCACAATAGCAAAGACATGGAATCAACCCAAATGCCCCTCAATGATAGACTGGATAAAGGAAATGTGGTACATATACACCATGGAATACTATGCAGCCATAAAAAGGAACGAGATCATGTCTTTTGCAGGACATGAATGGAGTTGGAAGCCATTATCCTCAGCAAACTAACACAGCAAGAGAAAACCATGTTCTCACTCATAAGTAGGAGCTGAACGATGAGAACACATGGACACATGGGGAAAACAACACACACTGGGACCTGCTGAGGGGTTAGGGAGAGAGAGAGCATCAGGAAGAATAGCTAACGGAAGCTGGGCTTAATACTTAGGTGATGGGTTGATATGTGTGGCAAAGCACCATGGAACAGGTTTACCTATGTAACAAAACTGCACATCCTTCACATGTATTCCTGAACTTAAAATAAAGGTTGAAGAAAAAAGAGAAAAAAAAGATACGTTCCATGTGCACATGAGAAGAATGTGTATTGTATTCTTTTTGGGTGAAGTTTTAGGTAGATGTTAGGCCTATTTGGTCAGTTCTCGAATTTAGGTCTCGAATTTATCTTTGTTATGTTTCTGCCTTGATAATCTGTCTAATACTGTCAGTGGGGTGTTGGGGACTCCAGCTATTATTGTGTGGTAATCTAAGTCTCTTTATAGGTCTCTAAGAACTTGTTTTATGAATCTGGGTACTCCATTGTTGGGTGCATATATATTTAGAAAAGTTATGTCTTCTTATTGAATTGAATTCTTTATTATTGTGTAATGCCCTTCTTTGTCTTTTTGATCATTGTTGGTTTAAAGTCTGTTTTGAATAAAATTATAATAGCAATTGCTTCTCTTTTTAGTTTTTGTTTGCTTGGTAGATTTTTCTCTATCCTTTTACTTTGAACCTATGTTTTCTCCTTGGATGTGAGATGTATCTGTTGGAGATAGCATATGGTTGGACTTTGCTTCTTTATCCAACTTGCCACTCTGTGCCCGTTAAATGGAGCATTTAGCCTATTTATATTCAAGGTTAATACTGATATTTGCTTGTTTGACTCTTTCATCATTTTAGCTCATTGTTATGCGGACTTTATTGTGTGATTGCTTTATACTTTCAGTGGTCTATGTACTAAGTGGGTTTTGTGGTAGCCAGTAATGGTCGTATATTTCCATGTTTAGTATTGGACCTTAAGGGACCTCTCGTAAAGCATGTATGGAAGCAATAAATTCCCTCAGCATTTGCTTGTCTGAGAAGGATTTTATTTCTCCTTTGCTTATGAAGGTTAATTTGGGTGAATACGACATTCTTGGTTGGAATTTCTTTTCTTTAAGAATGCAGAATATAGGTCCCCAATCTGTTGTGGCATGTAGCCTGGCAGGGTTCTCTTTGTAGGTGACCAGACCCACCTTTTTAATTGCCTTAAATATGTATATATATATATATATATATATATATATATATATATATATATATATATATTTCATTTTGTCCTTGGATAATCTGATGACTATGTGTCTTGGGGATGATTGTCTTGTATAGTATCTCAGAGAGGTTCTTTGAATTTCCTGAATTTGAATGTTGACTTCATTAGAAAGTTAGGGGAAATTTTCCTGAACAATATCCTAAATATGTTTTCCAAGTCGTTTGCTGTCTCTCCTTCTCTTTCAGGGATGTCAGTGAGTCATAGATTTGGTCTCTACATAAGCTCATATTTTTCAGAGTTTTAAAAAAATTCTTCTTTATTCTTTTAACTTTATTTTCATCTGACTGAGTTGATTCGAGGGACCTGTCTTTGAGCTCTGATATTCATTCGTCAACTTGGTGTATTCTGCAAGTAATACTTATAATTGTATTATAAAATTATTGTAGTGAGTTTTTCCGCTCTGTCAGATCAGTTTGGTTCTTTCTGAAAAATGGCTATTTCATCTTTCAGCTCTTGTATTGTTTTATTGTATTCCTTGTTTTCCTTGGATTGGGTTTCAATTTTCTTCTGAATCTCAACGATCTTTGTTGCTATCCAGATTCTGAATTCTGTGTGTCTTTTCAGCCATTTCCACCTAGTTAAGAACCATTGCTGTGGAGTTAGTGTGATCATTTCAAAGTAAGAACACATTCTGGCTTTTTGAGTTGCCAAAGTTCTTGCACGGGTTGTTTCTCATTTGTGTGAGCTGATATTTCTTTAATTGTTGAAGTTGCTGTCCTTTGGATAGGGTTTTTTTTTTTTCTTTTAGAATCTTTGGTGCCCTTCAGTGTTTGGCTGTGGGTATAAGTTTGGTTCAATTGACTGTCTTCATTTCTGGATGATATCAGGGGGCCAAAGCTCAGCTTAGCATTCCTAGGCTGTGAGTTCTAACCCTGGGGGCTGGTTCCAGTACCATGGCTTTGTTTTCTGACACCTTCTCATTAAGCACCTGGTGCACCGGCGAAGCCAAAGTGTTTTTTTTTGTTTTGTTTTGTTTTGTTTTTGTTTTTGTTTTTGTTTTTTGGTCCACTAGCAACAACATTCCAATAAGGGGTGCCAACAAAAGTGTGTCATCAGGGTGGTGGCTGAGGGATCTGCCCTCACATGTGCATGCTGGCTGCAGCCGGGTAGCAGGGATTGCACCTGTTTGTTTGCCAGCAGTATGGGCAGCATGATGGGGTACATGTGCTCCGGCATGGGTGGGGCAGCAGCATCTGTGTGCACGCTCCTGTGGGGTTGGTGTGGTGGTCGCGAGTTCCATGGGCATGTGCACTGGCAAAGCAGTGGGGGGAGGTTTTAGGTGAGTGCACACCATCAAAGCAATGGTGTGAACCTGTAGGTGGGTATTCACTGGTGAAGGCCCATCTGCTGAAGCTCTCCAATGGTCGGGCCAGTAAAGGATCTATGGCAGTGGCTTCCCAGAAGACACCCCGTTTGGGCATCTGAGGCTGTGCTGCAAGTGTGCACAGCCTGACAGGGACTCTGGGAGAGGCCGGCAGGCAGTGGGGTGCTCAGTTTAGACTGGCCCCATCCCACAGGCAAGACTGCCCTGTGCTGTCCAGGACTCACAGTCTGCAAAGCCCAAAGCCACCTAGAGAAGCATGGCAAGCCTTGGGGCATTGGCATCCCTGGCCATGCCCCACTACAGTCATTCCCACACAGAACTCTCTGAGCTCCACATAGGCTGAAGTCCTTTACCAGCCACCTCTCAAGGCAGCTTTCTTCTCAATTCAGATATCCCTGGGGGTAATGGGGTCTCCTGCAGCTAGTATTTCAGAGATCCATGGTGACAGTGGGACATTTCTCATCTATTTAACTCATCCTTTCCCCATGAGCTGCTGGGGGCCAGAAATGAGTCCTGGTGCTTGGCAGCTCCATGGAGGATTCACAGCTTCCTCCCCATTCAGCTCATGTGGCCTTTTCTCTCAGTCCACTCTCAATGCATTCTACCTGAAAATCTGCTTGGAGTGTGCCGGTCTTTTTGTTGGTCTGGGCTCTTGGTGGGAGATGACCTTCCTGGCTCCATCTACTCAGCTATCTTGGCTTTTCTCCTGTTTCTGGCTTTTGAGTCACACTACCACCTTAAGATTAGAAAAGTCTTCTATATTTTCATACTATTTTTATACGTTATTTTAAAATTCTAAATATTTTATTCATCTTGAATTCATTTTAAGGTAAGGAATATTTTAATATGTATACCTAACTCCTCAACGCTCAGACACAGATGAGCATCTACAAGTATCAAGACAAACCAGGAAAACATAACCTCACCAAACAAACTAAATAAGGTGCCAGGCACAAATACTGGAGAAAGACATCTAACCTTCCAGACAGAGAATGCAAAATGGCTGTTTTGAGAAAATACAAAGAAATTCAAGATAACACAGAAAGAATTCAAAATTTTATCAGATACATTTAACAAAGAGGTTGAAATAACTAAAAATCAAACGGAAATTCTGGAGCTGAAAAATGCAATTGGCATATGAAGAATGCATCAGAGTCTTTTAATAGCAGAAATAATTAAGCAGAAGAAAGAATTAGTGAGCTTGAATATAGGCTATTTGTAACTACACTAAGGAGACAAAAGAAAAAAATATAAAGCAATGAAGCATGCCCACAGGATCTAGAAAATAGCCTCATATGGAAAAATCAGAGTGATTGGCCTGAAAGAGGAAGTAGAGAAAGCAATAGGAGTGATAAGAGAATGGGATAATAACAGATTGCTTCCCAAACCTAGAGAAATATATCAATATCCAAGTACAAGAAGGTTACGGATACCAAACAGATTGAACCCAAAGAACTCTACCTTAAGGCATTTAATAATCAAACTCCCAAAGGTCAAGGAAAAAGAAAGATTTCTAAAAGAAGCAACAGAAAAGAAACAAATAAAGTACAATGAAGCTCCAATATGCCTGGCAACAGACTTCTCAGTGGAGACCTTACAGTCCAGAAGAGAGTGGCATTACATATGTGAAGTGCTGAAGGAAAAACCCTTTTAGCATAAAATAGTGACATGGTTTGGCTCTGTGTCTTCACTCAAATCTCATGTTAAATTGTAATCCCAGTGTTGGGGGAGGGACCTGGTGGGAGGTGATTGGATTATGGTGGCAGTTTCCCCCTTGCTGTTATCATGACATTGAGTGAGTTCTCATGACATCTGATGGTTTAAAAGTGTGGCACTTCCCTTCCCTCTCTCCTGCCACCATGTGAAGAAAGTCCTTGCTTCCCCTTCTCTTTTGCCATAATTGTAAGTTTCTGAGGCCTCCCACTGATGCTTCCTGTTAAGCCTGCAGAACTGTGAGTCAATCAAACTTCTTTGCTTCATAAAATACCAAGTGTCAGGTAGTTCTTTATAGCAGTGTAAGAATGGACTAATACAGAAAATTGATACTGAGAGTAGGGCACTGCTATAAAGATACTTGAAAAATGTGTAAGCAGCTTTGGAACTGGGTAATGGGCAGAGGCTGGAACAGTTTGGATGGCTTAGAAGAAGACAGGAGGATGTGGGAATGTTTGGAACTTTATGGCAACCTGTTGAATGGTTTTGACCAAAATGCTGATAGTAATATAGACAATGAAGTCTAGGCTGAGGTGGTCTTAGATGGAAATGAGGAACTTACTGGGAACTGGAGTAAAGGTCGCTCTTGCTATGCTTTAGCAAAGAGACTGGTGGCATTTTGCCCCTGCCCTATAGATCTGTGGAACTTTGAACTTAAGAGAGATGATTTAGGGTACCTAGCATAAAACGTTTCTAAGCAGCAAAGCATTGAAGATGTGACCTGGCTGTTTTTAAAAGCATATGCTCATATATTTGAAAAAAGATTATCTGAGACTGAAACTTATATTTAAAAGGGAAGTAGAGCATAAAATTTTGGAAAATTTGCAGGCTGGCCCTGTGGTAGGAAAGAAAAACCCATTTTCCAGGAAGAAATTCAAGCTTGCTGCAGAAATCAGCGTAAGTAACAAGGAGCCAAATGTTAATAGCCAAGACAAGGGGGAAAAATGTCTCCAGGGCATTTTAGCAATCTTCATGGCATCCCCTCCCATCACAGACCCAGAGGCCTAGGAGGGAAAAATGGTTTTCTGGGCCAGGCCCAGGCTGTGCAGCCTCAGGACACAGCACTCTGCATCCCTGCTCCTCAAGCGCCAGCCTTGGCTAAAAGGGGCCAATGTACAGCTCAGGCCCTGGCTTCAGAGGGGCAGCCCGAAGACTTCATGGCTTTTATGTCATGTTTGGCCTTTGGGCACACAGAAGGCAAGAGTTGAAGTTTGGGAGCCTCCACCTAGATTTCAGAGGGTGTATGAAAATGCCTGAATGTTCAGGCAGAAGTCTGATGCAGGGGCAGAGCCCTCATGGAGAACTTCTGCTAAGGCACTGTGGAGGGAATATGTGGGGTTGGAACCCCCACACAGAGTTCCTACTGGGGCATTGCCTCAGGGAGCTGTGAGAAGAAGGACACCATCTTCCAGACCCCAGAATGGTTTTAGCAGTTCCACCAACAGCTTGCACTGTGCTCTGGATATGCTGCAAGCACTTAACACCTCCCTGTGAAAGCAACCAAAGGGGTGGTAGCCTGCAGAGCTACAGGACCAGAGCTGCTCAAGGCCTTGGGAGCCCACCCCTTGCATCAGCGAGCCCTGAATCTGAAACGTGAAGTCAAAGGTGATTATTTTGGAGCTTTATGATTTAATGACTGCCCTGCTGGGCTTCAGACTTGCATGGGATCCAGAGCCTCTTTGTTTTGGCCATTTTTTTCCCATTTGGAATGGGAGCATTTACCCAATGTCTGTACCTCCATTGTATCTTGGAAATAATTAACTTGTTTTTTATTTCACCGGCTCATAGGCAGAAGGGACTTGCCTTGTCTCAGATGAGACTTTGGACTTGGACTTCTGGTTTAACACTGGAATGAGTTAAGACTGCGGAACTGCGGAACTGTTGGAAAGGCCTGATTGGTTTTGAAATGTGAGAAGGACATAAGATTTGGGAGGGGCCAGGGTGGAATGATATATTTTGGCTCTGTGTCCCCACCCAAATTTCATATTGAATTGTCATCCTCAGTGTTGGGTTAGGGACCTGGTGGGAGGTGATTGGATCATGAGGGTGATTCCTCCCTTGTTGTTTTCATGATAGTTGGTGAGTTCTCACAAGACATAATGGTTTAAAAGTGTGGCACTACCCCTTCCCTCTCTAATGGGTACATTCTTTCAAAGCAGTGAGTTCTTTTCTGGTCCAGGGTGTATCTAGAAATGTCATCCAGAGCTAGGGCCTTGAAAGAGGTCCTCACAGCTCTGACTGGTGCCCTATCCTGCTGTGGCTGAGCTGTTATCCAAGAAACAAGACTAAGTCCTCTACAGTTTCCCTTCTCCTCTCCTCAAGTGGAAGAAAGGAATCTCCTTTGGACCCATGAGCTGTGCAGATTGGGGTTAGGGGAGGCAATGCCAACACTCCCTTAGCCACCCTTGCTGGTGTCTTAGTAGGTCACGTGCCCCCTATTCCACTGTCTCTTGGCGCAGTTCAGTACTTGGACTCTTCCAGCAGTTTCAGTCCATGTGGCCTAGACTGTCTTTCATGTTTATTTATAGCCCCAGAGCACTGTAGCCCATGGTGGCAAGTCTTGTGGAACTCAAAGTCTAACAAGTGGCACCAGCGATTCCCCTCTGGTTAGGGCTGGTTTAAATGCTCCCTTGGTGTGCAGGCATTAGTTGAGTTTGGTCCAGTTTTCCTTTCTGCTATAACAGGACAGCACTGAGTTCAGCGCTTCACAAGTGCTGTGTTTTCCCTCCTCCAGCACACACAAATACTCTCTCTACCACCCTGCCCCTGCCAGGGGATGGGGTAGGGATGGCATCAGCAATTCAAGACTGTTACTTCTACCTTTTCAGTGTCTCTTTCAGTGATAAGTTAAAAACCAGGTACTGTGAGAGCTCACCTGATTTTTGGTTCTTATGAAGGTACTTTTTTGTGAGTAGATAGTTGTTAAGTGCTTGTTTTTGTAGGGAATGATTGGTGGAGGCTTCTATTCAGTCATTTCGCTGCACCTTCCACCTACCAGTTCCTTTTAAACAATTTAGTTTCACTGTTTTAATATATTTTTTCCAATTTTTTTATTGTAAAATACTCATAAAATGTACCACCTTAGCTATTTTTAAGTGTACAGTTCAGTGATATTAAATGTGTTCATAATGTTGTGCAACCACCACCACCATCCATTTTTCTAATTTGGATATTTCTTTGGATTTCTTATATCAAATAATTCATGTTTTTAAATTTCTATAATACAAAAAAGGTTTTTGTTAATTTTTTCTGTGTCCTTGAAGAATTCCTCCTTTAATATGTATATAATTTATCTTGTATAGTACTTTTGAAAAAGTTTTATACTGCTCTTTCCAGCTTATTATTTTTATAATAATGATGCAATAGTACCCAAGATTTTAGTCACTGGAAAATATTATAAATTATCCTGCTTGATCATAATATCTTTCCTGAGCAAAAACTTGAATTATTCTGCTAGGAGGGAGATATGCATTTTTTGGTACAGTCATTTGGCTGTTTGCAAAACAGGGCTGGTGAGCTGAGGCAGCAGGTGGTACATGGATGTAATTCAAATGGTTCCTCACCGAAGTTTTGGATACTCTGTGCTCCAGTTGATTATTCAGTACTATATTTGAGGCAGGTGGGAAATAGAAAAACATATTTTGTTTCTCTGGGTTCTTATGTGAGGACTTTATGCTCCAAGACATTTTGTTTTTGTTTTGTAGTTGTCTGTTTGATGTTACTCATCTCCGTTCAGTAAACTTTATCAAGCAGCTGTATATTTTGCTACAAGATTATCTTTGTCTCTCTTCACCTTAATCACATTCCACCTAGTTAGCACATTGCTATTTCCTCATCTTTTTCTCTCCCACCTCTGGGCTATTCTAATTGGCTCAAAACAGAATATCGAAAAATAAAAGTAATGTAACCACATGGTAGACTTTCCTTTAGCCCTAACTCCCTTATAATGCTGCTGGGTAGAAACTGACTCCCAGTGGAATGTTCCCACAGTATCCTGCCAACATTCCTTAGTCCTTATTTTCAGGTTCAGGAATTTTGGTATGGCTCTTCAATAGTTTTGCCGCTTATCATCTAATAACTTCACCCTACACTGTGTATCAGTCTTGGAATCCTTTTTTAGTTTGATCCAAATTTTATTTTATATGAAAGATATTTCTTTGAAATCAGTGATAAAGGGATTGTGATGGCTTCCATTGCTTCACTTTTGATGGGATTTTCTTCTTAGCTTTAGTTTCTTTTACTCATTTCTATGCATTTCTGAGAAATTATGCAAATATGCACTCATTTGCTAATAGTGTTTATTTTCTACAAACTTAACCATTATAGATTAATGAAAAGATGAGCAATATTCATTTGATATCTTCAATTTCAAGGAAAATAAGTATTGTTCATATTGAAAAAGAAATCTAGCATTTTTTATTTGATTTTTTTGTTTCATAAAATATACTCCTAATCAAATGAACCCTTAAGTCATTACATTACACATAGATTTCTTTTCTTGTTAAAAATGTGGAGAAGTAAAACCTCTAATTATATTACTACTTTTAATGAAAGCATATTTGACATACTACGGAGTTGCCACCTACAGGTAAGTGTTTTAAATTAATGATGAACTCTTTCTCCAACAGAAAAATGAGTTACTAGAAAGCTCATGAAAAACAAAAAAAGAAAATGTGTTCAATCTTTTTTTTACTAAATTGTTTATAAATGATATTTTTGGAGAGATAAAAATAAACAGGATCTTTTTCCATTTGTTTGTATTGTCTATGAATTATTTCATCACTGTTTTGTAGTTTTCCTTTTTAGAGATTCTTCACCTCCTTGGTTAAATATATTCCTAGGTATTTTATTTGTTTGTAGCTATTGTAAATGGGATTGCATTCTTGATTTGGTTCTTATTTAGATTTTTATTGGCATATGTAAATGCTACTGATTATTGTACACTGATTTTGTATCCTGCAATGTTACTGAATTCACGTATCAAATCTTAAAATTTTTTGGTGGAGTCTTTAGGATTTTCTATATGTAAAGTCAAATCATCAGTGAACACAGATAATTTGACTTCCTGTTTTCCAATTTGGATAATTTTTATTTCTTTCTCTTGTGTGATTTTTCTGGCTAGGACTTCCAGCACTATATTGAATAAGAATAGTGAAAGCAGGCATCCTGTCTTGTTTCAGTTCTTAGAGGGAATGCTTTCAACTTTTTCCCCTTTAGTATGATGTTGACTGTGGGTTTCTTGTATATGGCCTTTATTATTTTGAAGTATTTTTCTTCTATCCTAGGTTTTTGAAAGTTTTTTATCATGAAGTGATGCTAAATTTTACAAATGCTTTTTATGCATCTATTGAGATAATCATATGGTTTTTGTCCTTCACTCTCTTTATGTGATGTATCACATTTATTGTTTTGCATATATCAAGCCATCCTTGCATGCCTGGTATAAAACCCACTTTAACATGGTGTATTGTCTTTTTCATGGGCTGTTGGATTTGGTTTGCTACTATTTTGTTGGGGATTTTTGCATCTGTGTTCACTGGGGTATTTGTCTGTAGTTTTCTTTTTTTGTTTTGTTCTTGTCTGGTTTTGGTATCAGGGTGATACTGGCTTTGTAGAATGACTTAAAGAGCATTCTCTCCTTTTAGACTTTTGAAACAATTTCAGGAGGATTAGTATTCATTGTTCTGTTTAAGTTTGGTAGAATAGGAAGAATTAATATTGTTTAAATGACCATACTTGCAAAAACAATCTACAGATTAAATGCAATCCCTATCAAAATATCAGCATTATTTTCCACAAAATAAGAGGAAACAATCCTAAAATTCAAATGAAACAAAAAAGATCCCAATAGCCAGAGCCATCCTAAGTAAAAAGAATAAAGCCAGAGGCATCACATTATCTGACATCAAATTATACTACAAGGCTGTAGTAACCAAAACAGCATGATAATATTATAGAAATAAACACATAGATCAATGTAACAGAAGAGAACCCAGAAATACAGCCACAAATTTACAGTTAACTGATCTTTGACAAAGTCAATGAGAATACACTGAGAAAAGGACACCCATTTCAATAAATGGTGCTGGGAAAATTGGGTTGCCGTATGCAGAAAAGTGAAACTGGACCCCTATCTCTCAACATATGCAAAAGTCAACTAAAAATGTATGGAAGACTTAAATGTAAGACTTTAAACTATAAAAATACTAGAAGAAAATCTAGGAAAAACTCTTCTGGACATTCGTCTAGGCAAACAATTGAAGACTAAGACCTCAAAAGCACAGACAACAAAAACAAAAATAGGCAGATGGAACTTAGTTAAACTAGAAAGCATCTGCACAAGAAAAGAAATCATCAACAGAGTGAACAGACAACCTGCAGAATCAGAGAAAATATTTGCAAACTACATATCTGACAGGGGACTAATATCCAGAATTTATAAGGAATTCAATTCAACAACAACAAAAATAAAACAAATAACCCCATTAAAAAGTGGGCAAAGAACATGAATAGACGTTTTTCAAAAGAAAGCATAGAAATAAATTGCTAACAAGCATATGAAAAATGCTCATCATCACTAATCATCAGAGAAATGCAAATTAAAACCACAGTGACGTATCATCTTACACCAGTCAGAATGACTAACTATTAAAATGACAAAAAAAAAAAAAAAAAAAAAAAAAACAGATACTGGTGAGAATGTGGAGAAAAGGGAATGCTTTTACACTGTTGGTGGGAATGTAAATTATTTCAACCTCTGTAGAAAACAGTATGGAGATTTCTCAAAGAACTAAAAATAGAAGTTCCTTTTGACCTAGCAGTCTCCTTACCTGGTATCTACCTGGAAAATAAATCATTATATCGAATGGACAACTGCACTTGTATGTTTATTGCAACACTATTAACAGTAACAAAGATATGGAATCAATCTGTGTACATCATTGGATGACTGGATACATAAAATGTGGCATATACATTGAGGAAAATACTATGCAGTCATAAAAAAGAATGAAATCATGTTATTTGCAGCAACATTGATGGAACTGGAGGTCATTATCTTAAGTGAAACAACTCAGACCCAGAAAGACAAATACTGCATGTTCTCACTTGTAAGTGGGAGCTAAATAATGTGTACATACACATGCACATAGAGTGGGAAATGATAGACAATGGAGACTAGGAAGGTTGGGCAAGTGGGAGTGGATGATGAGAAATTACTTCATGAGTACAATGTATATTATTCAGGTGATCAATATCCTAAAAGCCCTGATTTCACCACCAGACAAACAATTCATGTAACAAAATTACTCTTGTACCCTATAAATTTATACAAATAAATAGATAAATAGAAAGATTTCTACAAACATACATTACATTTGTGGGATTTTAATTTCACTTAATTTAGTTCTTTCACTGCTGTCTTCAATTTCTCAGCATGAAGTTATTCTCTGGGCCAAATTTAAGGCCAATGAGACTCAATCCCCATCACAATATTGTCAAGTATGACCTAAAAGTTGAAAGGCTGTGATATAATAAATGGTGTGAGAGAAATTAATCAAGCAGCTAAGCAAATATATTTTGGATAGAATTGGCAGTCTTTGCCTTAGAACAACATAGCACTTGATTAGAAAGGTGATATTTTGGAGTAGAATAAAGAAATTTCTTGCAAAAATCCTGGATAATACAGCACACACAAAAATAACAAACAAACCCTAGCTGAAGAAATACTCTCCAATGGATGATATTCACCTGGTTTGGCCATCAAAGGGCTCCCTATTTGTAATTAGAAGATTCAAATAAAGTTGACTCAATCTAGATATTGATCTATAACTTTAGACAAGACTTTATGGATATAAAAAACAGGTTGTTAAATCCTCAGAATTGCATGAGTTTATATATATTTTTCATATAATAAATTTCAACATAAACAATATAGTATAAAAGATATGTGGGCTATAAGGAGAGCTTTTGGTTTAAAATTTTTGCTTTTCCTTGGTAATTGGTGAAAATTGTTTCCCAGGGTTGCTAAGGAATTTTATGTTTTTGACCTGGTCTGGATTCCTGGAACATAGCATACTTTTCCCTGCTTTTGAATCTTAACTCATGCTGCCAACTCTTTCTGGAATGCTCTCAACCCCCACATTCACCAACACACATATTTACCTGCATAATTATTTCTCATTCAACAAGATTTTCCCTTCAGTCTGGTATAAGTACTTGTGCATACCTGTGCATACTTAAAATTGTAGCTATCTGTTTAAATATCTTATTCGTCTTTGTAATTCCAGTGCCTAGACATAATGGTGTTCAACTGAATGCTTGTTGAATGAGTAAGTGAAGCACCCACTCTATTTGTAGAAAATGTCTAACATGGTACTAGATTTCCTGCTTATGTAATCATTTCATCTTATGGTAGAATATTCTGTCATAAATAATTAATCATAAAGTTATCAAATAAAACCTATTACTTGCCATTTGAAAGCCACAAAAAAGGTATGTGCCTTTTAAAACCAGTGGAGTCATTGCCTAAGGGACTAGGATGAGATAACCTATGTAAGAGCACTTTCAATTCTGGAATCATTTTCTTAAAGGTTAGGCATTTTCATTTGTTTGATTTTGGAATGAATGTGCAGGAATGGGAATAAATAATCTAGTAGTTAGGTCTGAGAGGCTATTGTTGACTGCAACAATATGACTCTTGAGTGGCTGAATCCAGGATTAGAGAAATTTCAAAGTAATTCAAAAAGCCTATTCTCGTTATTGTTAAGGATCAAGCTAACTTTTATGAATCATGCATTAAAAAGTACCTCCAAAAGAATTTTCAAAATATCACAAGGACTCATATCTTTTCACCACATGGGGACAGACAACATAAAAATAGTTGGTAAGAATTGCAAATACTCTACTTACTATTCTGCTTTTTAGTCTCTTAGATTTCTTTTTGTCTCTTCGTTTTCAACAATGTTTGATTTTTTGCCATTGTGAAAATTCTTAGTGCTTCATCAGGATGTCTTCGAGAAAAAAATGAATGTATTATCATTGATGCTCATAAGTTGTAATAAATACAAACAAATTTCACTGAAATTAAGGATGGCATTAAAGAACACTGATATTATCTATATTTTAGGCAAAAGAGCTTTCCGTTTATGTTTTGGGAGTTTTCTGTATCAAATTTAGGCTCTTTCTTCACACATTTACATAAAACTCCTGTACATCCTATGAAAACAGTGATGGAAATTTAAATCCAGATAATCAATCACTGTCAACATTTATGTCACCACCTGCCAAAAATACTTGTGAAGCACTGATCTTCATCATTTTAAGAATAGAAGAAGGATAGATTGCAAAAATTTTCTCCCATTTTGTAGGTTATGTTCACTCTGATGATAGTTTCTTTTGCTCTGCAGAAGCTCTTTAGTTTAATTAGATCCCATTTGTCAATTTTGACTTTTGTTGCAATTGCTTTTGGTGTTTTAGTCATGAAGTCTGTGCCCATGTCTATGTACTGAATGGTATTGCCTAGGTTTTCTTCTAGGGTTTTTATGGTTTTAGGTCTTACACTTAAATCTTTAATCCATCTTGAGTTAATTTTTGTGTAAGGTGTAAGGAAGGGGTCCAGTTTCTGTTTTTTGCATATGGCTTGCCAGTTTTCCCGACACCATTTATTAAATAGGGATTCCTTTCCCCATTGCTTGTTTTTGTCAGGGGTTTGTCAAAGACCAAACAGTTGTAGATGTGTGGTGTTATTTCTGAGGCCTCTGTTCTGTTCCATTGGTCTATATATCTGTTTTGGTACCTGTACCATGCTGTTTTGGTTACCGTAGGCTTGTAGTATAGTTTGAAGTCAGGTAGCATGATGCCTCCAGCTTTGTTCTTTTTTGCTTAAGATTGTCTTGGCTATACGGACTCTTTTTTGGTTCCATATGAAATTTAAAGTAGTTTTTTTCTAATTCTGTGAAGAAAGTCATTGATAGCTTGACAGGGATAGCATTGAATCTATAAATTACTTTGGGCAGTATGGCCATTTTCACGATATTGATTCTTCCTATCCTTGAGGATGGAATGTTTTCCATTTGTTTGTGTCCTCTCTTGTTTCCTTGAGCAGTGGTTTGTAGTTCTCCTTGAAGAGGTCCTTCACATCCCTTGTAATTTGTTTTCCTAGGTATTTTATTCTCTTTGTAGCAATTGTGAATGGGAGTTTGCTCATGATTTGGCTCTCTGTTTGTCTATTATTGGTGTATAGGAATGCTTGTGATTTTTGCACACTGATTTTGTATCTTGAGACTTTGCTGAATTACGAAAAAAAAAGCTCATGATCACTGGTCATTAGAGAAATGCAAATCAAAAGCACAATGAGATACCATCTCACACCAGTTAGAATGGCAATCATTAAAAAGTCAGAAAACATGCCTATGTCCTGAATGGTAATGCCTAGGTTTTCTTCTATGGTTTTTATGGTTTTAGGTCTAACGTTTAAGTCTTTAATCCATCTTGAATTAATTTTTGTATAAGGTGTAAGGAAGGGATCCAGTTTCAGCTTTCTCCATATGGTTAGCCAGTTTTCCCAGCACCATTTATTAAATAGGGAATCCTTTCCCCATTGCTTGTTTTTCTCAGGTTTGTCAAAGATCAGATAGTTGTAGATATGCGGCGTTATTTCTGAGGGCTCTGTTCTGTTCCATTGATCTATATGTCTGTTTTGGTACCAGTACCATGCTGTTTTGGTTACTGTAGGCTTGTAGTATAGTTTGAAGTCAGGTAGCATGATGCATCCAGCTTTGTTCTTTTGGCTTAGGATTGACTTGGCGATGTGGGCTCTTTTTTGGTTCCATATGAACTTTAAAGTAGTTTTTTCCAATTCTGTGAAGAAAGTCATTGGTAGCTTGATGGGGATGGCATTGAATCTATAAATTACCTTGGGCAGTATGGCCATTTTCACGATATTGATTCTTCCTACCCATGAGCATGGAATGTTCTTCCATTTGTTTGTATCCTCTTTTATTTCATTGAGCAGTGGTTTGTAGTTCTCCTTGAAGAGGTCCTTCACGTCCCTTGTAAGTTGGATTCCTAAGTATTTTATTCTCTTTGAAGCAATTGTGGACATAGGCATGGGCAAGGACGTCATGTCTAAAACAACAAAAGCAATGGCAACAAAAGCCAAAATTGACAAATGGGATCTAATTAAACTAAAGAGCTTCTGCACAGCAAAAGAAACTACCATCAGAGTGAACGGGCAACCTACAAAATGGGAGAAGATTTTTGCAACCTACTTATCTGACAAAGGGCTAATATCCAGAATCTACAATGAACTCAAACAAGTTTACAAGAAAAAAACAAACAACCCCATCAAAAAGTGGGCAAAGTACATGAACAGACACTTCTCAAAAGAAGACATTTATGCAGCCAAAAAACACATGAAAAAATGCTCACCATCACTGGCCATCAGAGAAATGCAAATCAAAACCACAATGAGATACCATCCCACACCAGTTAGAATGGCAATCATTAAAAAGTCAGGAAACAACAGGTGCTGGAGAGGATGTGGAGAAATAGGAACACTTTTACGCTGTTGGTGGGAGTGTAAACTAGTTCAACCATTGTGGAAGTCAGTGTGGTGATTCCTCAGGGATCTAGAACTAGAAATACCATTTGACCCAGCCATCCCATTACTGGGTATATACCCAAAGGATTATAAATCATGCTGCTATAAGGACACATGCACACGTATGTTTATTGCAGCACTATTCACAATAGCAAAGACTTGGACCCAACCCAAATGTCCAACAATGATAGACTGGATTAAGAAAATGTGGCACATATACACCATGGAATACTATGCAGCCATAAAAAATGATGAGTTCATGTCCTTTGTAGGGACATGGATGAAATTGGAAATCATCATTCTCAGTAAACTATCGCAAGGACAAAAACCAAACACTGCTTGTTCTCACTCATAGATGGGAATTGAACAATGAGAACACATGGACACAGGAAGGGGAACATCACACTCTGAGGACTGTTGTGGAGTGGGGGGAGGGGGGAGGGATATCATTAGGAGATATACCTAATGTAAATCCTAATGTAAATGACGAGTTAATGGGTGCAGCACACCATCATGGCACATGTATACATATGTAACTAACCGGCACATTGTGCACATGTACCCTAAAACTTAAAGTATATATATAAAAAAAAAAAAGTCAGAAAACAACAGATGCTGGAGAGGATGTGGAGAAATAGGAACGTTTTTATACTGTTAGTGGGAGTGTAAATTAGTTCAACCATTGTGGAAGACAGTGTGGTGGTTCCTCAAGGATCTAGAACCAGAAATACCATTTGATCCAGCAATCCTGTTACTAGGTATATACCCAAAGGATTGTAAATCATTCTACTATAAAAACGCATGCACACGTATGCTTATGGCAGCACTATTCACAATAGCAAAGACTTGGAACCAACCCAAATGCCTATCAATGCTAGACTGGATAAAGAAAATGTGGCAGATATACACCATGGAATACTAGGCAGCCATAAAAGAGAATTAATTCATGTCCTTTGCAGGGACACGGATGAAGCTGGAAACCATCATTCTTAGCAAACTAACACAGGAACAGAAAACCAAACACCACATGTTGTCACTCATAAGTGGAAGTTGAACAGTGAGAACATATGGGCACAGGGAAGGGAACATCACACACAGGGGCCTGTCGGGGGGTGGGGCACAAGGGGAGGGATAGCATTAGGAGAAATATTTAATGTAGATGACGGATTGATGGGAGCAGCAAATCACCATGGCACGTGTTTATCTTTGTAACAAACCTGCACGTTCTGCACACGTATCCCAGAACTTAAAGTATAAAAAAAAGAATAGAAGAAGGGATTTTAGACAAATTTACAACAGAAGAGAATTATCAAAGCCTTATATGTTAGTTATCAATCACTGCATAGCAAATTACTCAAAAAATTAGTGTCTTAAAACAACATTTGTTATCTCACAGTTTCTGTGAATCAGGAATCTGGGCATAGCTTAGCTGGGTGACCTCTGGCTCAGAGGCTCTCACAAGGCTGCAGTCAAGATGTTGGTGGGGGCTGCAGTCATCTGGAGGCTCAATTGGGAAAGTATCTGCTTCCAAGCTCACTCAAGTGGTTGTTGGAAGGACTTAGTTCCTCACAGTCCATTGGACTGAAGGCCTCAGTTCTTTACTGACTGTTGGCCATAGGTTTCCCTCATTTCCTTGCCATGTGAACCTCTCAATAGAGTAATTTACAACATGCTAGCAGTCTTCCCTCAAAGCGAGAAAGCAAGAGAATGAGAAAGGTAGAGCAAGATGGAAGAAGAAATATTTATAAAATCTGACTTCAGAAGTGACAACCCATCACTTTTGCTGTATTCTATTCGTTAGAAGTGAGTCATTAGATCTATTCCACTCTCAAGGGGGAGGGTATAGATATGAAGAGGCAAGAATGATTGGGGATCATCTTAGAAGTTGCCTACCACAGTTTGCTTTAATGGAAAGAAAATCAATCACTTTCAATTAAACTTTCGATCTTACAACTTGGTGTAAAAGAGATCTCAAAACACAATCTCATATCCGTATTTAGCTTTTATCTGGTAGGGCATATGGAGAGTAGTTCATGGTTATATCGTAATTTTAAGATTATACCTGAGGGATTGCAATTGGGAATCCCTTCTATAGGAAAATGCCATATTGTAATTAGGTCAGAAATTTTTCCAAATAAGAACTCAAATCAGAGTCCTGGAAATGAGGAAACAGTACTAGTCCACAAGGATTCCTGTAATGTGGCTGTCCTTACTGCTCTAAACCCTTACCCCAATCTAGCTGTCTGGCTTCAGAGTTAAAGGGATATGGGCTTACCTAAATATTCTTTACTGAACCGATGCACCCATTCCCCAACTTTTGTGAATGTCAGTTGCTAAAGGCTCACAGATGCACAATTCTATGGAAGGAATTGATCTTTGTAGAGGGGAACTGCCTTGCCTAGGGGAGCAGCACCCCACCCTATGGGGTGGGGGCAGCCTGCAGGCAATGACTGAAACTGTGGTATACCAAAGCCTGCCTATCTTATCTCAAGGTACAATCCAACCTTTCAGCTCCCTATGGGATCAAGGTGAAGCCACTCTACAGCTGACACCACAGCTTCACTTAGCTCTTTCCCTGACCTATTTTGATTTCTTCACTCCTTTATAGGATCTTTTTGAGAACACACCTACAGTAAGTCACTTACACGGGAGTTTATATCTCAGGCTCTGCTTCTAGAGAACCTGATCTAAGACCTTGGTCAACTGGAATTCAAGTGGGAGACTGGGCAATGTTTTTCAATATCAATGTTGGAAAGTAAGAACTCACTTTTCTCCTAAATTAAAACACGAATAAAATGGCATATGGTAACAAGTGCTCATGGAATGCCCTTCTCACAAAGTTCTCTGGGCCAATATCCTTCATACTGGCAAATATTGCATTCTCAATCCATCTACAGAACAGAAAAGAAGTGGCTAAATTCCTAGTTCAAGACATTCTTAGTTCAAGATTATTGAAAAGCAATTAACAGAAAAAAATAGACAGTTATCAATTTCATGTGTTTCACAAATACCCTACCCTTAGTTCATGTACACTAAATAAACTCCACATTTTTGGAAAAAAAAGGGAAAGAGGAGGTAGTCATTGTGGAGTACCTGCTCTTCTAGAGGCCAGAGGTTGTGTGCCACTGACTGCTGAGCCTGTGGGCCCTCATTTTTAGTAGGAGCCTTTTAAATTAATACTTTGACAATTTTGACTTGCTTCCAAATTGAGGAGATATTCTGCAAAGCTCATATCTTCATGATCTGTGGATTTTTTTTAAAGAAAAGATAGTCATTTCTACTCTTGGTACATTTCTGATTGTCCTTTGCTTGCCACCCTTCATACGTTTCCTTTCATACATACTTTTTCCCCAGCACAACTTCCTGTACTATTTTGTCAGCATGCTTTAGTAGCAGCAATGATGGCTAAAACAGGTCACTTTATGTTTCATTTATAGGAGAAAGCCACTCAAAAACACAAGCACGCAAAATAAAGAATTAAACAAGAAATTTATTTTCTCGAGACCAGGAATAAGTCACTCCACAGTGGTGGAATCATGGCTCACTGCAGCCTCCAAATCTGGAGCTCAAGCAATCATCCCACCTCAGCCTCCCAGGTAGCTGGGACCACAGGTGTGTGCCACCACACCGGCTGTTTTTTTTATTTTTTGTAGAGACATGATCTCCCTTTGTTGCCCAGCCTGGTCTTGAACTCCTGGGCCCGTGCGATCCTCTTGCCTCTGCTTCCAAAAGTGTTGGGATTACAGGAAAAGCCACTGCATCCAGCCTCAGACAAGATCTTTTAAGTGAGTTTAAAATTATCCTTATTAACTGACAAATGTTCTGTGAATATCTTTAATAACAAAGTCCTTTGTGGGAAGAACTTTTCAAGGGCACTGACCAAGTCTGATGTTCCTTTTCAGGGTTCTCATTGGTGCACCACTGAAAACTACTTACAAAGAGCCACAAGGATTACTCAAGAGCAAGAGACATTCACATTTGTGCCCTTAAATGGCATGAGAAAACAAACTGTTACCAATGTGAATTCTCAGCTCTTCTTTCCAAACAACAGCTATGCCATTTCACATGCCATCTTTCTTCTGGAGCAGCAGCTTCTCTAATTAATTTCATAACAATATTGTTGTAACAAGGATGGGCTATTTGTTCTGGATGGGCTATATCATTCTGAAAAATTTGAAAGGGCAGAGTGTTTAAATGAAGAAGTTTAAATTTTGAAAAATATGAAAAGCAGAGTATAGTGATATGAAGGCATCCAAATAGAATCACCAGTGCTTCCCTGAGGCAAAATTGAAATATAGGGACAATTTGTCTCCATCTTTCCTCTATCATCCTTTTCAAATCTCTCCCTTGCCATTGAGAAAATGGGTCCTTACACTTTACCATGTCCGCCTGGACTCTCTCCGTTATGTAACACCATCTGGACTTGCAACCACTGGACCAGGCCTCATCCCTTGTCTGCTCTTCTTCTATCAAAATGTACTTGTTTTGTGTCGTATGTCTTACTGTAATGAAGTGACACATTCATTTACTTGAATTTATGGACGGAAAATTATTGCTGGTTTACTATTTTGACCTCTTGGAATTATTAGTATGTTCACAGGCACTCCAGGGAAGATAATTTTTAACTCAAAGGGAGAACTGTAATTTCAAGCCATCGCTAGGTTAGTGGAGTCAATATTTTGGAGAGGGAGGTTTAAGTCTGTAACAGAGAAGTTGCCCTCTTTGTTTATGTATTAGCTGGCCCTGTAATGTGGCCATTATTTTGGTAAATAACACAATACAAATATCTTCAAGGTATGCAAGCAAGTGCATTCTATAGGACATTTTCTGTTGGAAGAAAACATATGCTTTTGCTGAGAATAACTTTTCTACATTATGTTCTCCTTTTCGTGAATTATTTTTTACAAAGAGAATGAAACATCTCTTCCATCTTCCTTCAGTTTCACAATCAGAGTGTCCATTTTTGTTACGCTCAATCAGCTCTAATCATTAATTTGAAAATCTGAAATGTGTTAACCCAGGTACATTGCTCATCCTGCTGACTCTATGAGTAGCACATTTATCAATTCTGCCATGTGCAATGTTCAATGCTATGTTGGTTGCTGCATGCAACTAATTTTTTTTCTTTTTGGCAGAAACTGGCTGACTGCTATTTAATCAAGGGAATGTAGTGGCAGCTTCAAGTTTAAAATATTTTGAAATGATACAAGAGCGATTCTCTTCACTTGACTCCAAGGTTGTCTGTTCCTTAGAAATAAATTTACTCAAGTCTATAGTTTTGGGGGTTCAGCAGAATGGACATTAAGTAAATTATTAATATTTTTATATATTGCTGGCAAAATGTATCTATTAAATGTGTGAACATTTTTACAGTTGAATCAGAAGAGAATTGCCAATGGGGGCAAAGCATTGCCAAATAGATGTATAATTTGTCATCATAATACAGCTAATACTTCTTCCTTGACTTGGCACTGAACAGGACAGAATCTGTAGCACATTTTGAGACTGTACTGTTTTCTACCTTCTGTGTCTTATGACCTTTCTCAAATTCCTTTGCTGAATCAGTATCTATAAAATATTACAAAAAGCATTTGATGTGTAAGCCATTAAAATGGGCTGATGAGCATTTTCCCCCAAGAGGCCTTAAATAATTGGTAATTGTTTATGTCATTATTATTATTACTGTTATCATTCATTCTTAGATGAAATTTCAGTCCCATTAGCACTATAGGATTAATAAGCAACCCGACTTTCCAAACCTAGCCTTTTGTGTACTTGGTAGCTAGAAACTAAGTCAAGGCAGGCTCCATCTATGTTGACATTTTTCTAAATGTTTAAAAAACTTACTTGAGCACAAATGGTCTGTATGGAAACATATGTAGGAAAACATCCTGAGTATTTAATAAACACAATTAAGTGCATTTTTAAATAAATAAGTGATGGATTGTTAAATGAATGAATGAATAAATGAATGAGTCAATCAGTTAATGATTGAGCAATGAATGAGCAAAACATATATATATATATATAATTGTGTTTTGTGTAACAGGCCACATAACACATTTCTTTTAGACGTGGCAGAAGTGCTTACAGATCTTGTAGTCTAACTCCTAATGTTTGTAGTGAAGAAACAAAAGTAAAATAGCTGGCTTGAATTCACAGTTAGTTGGTAGTTGGTGATGGCCCCAAACTCTTAATGATTTCCCCACCTTCCATGACAAAGCAGATAGCTGTTTTCCAATACACCATAGACCCTGGGAGCTGTGTAGATTGTTACAAAGAACATGGACTTGAGAGGCAGAGAAACTTGGGTTTGGAGCTCAGCTTTGCATTTTCCAGCTGTGTGTTCCTGGGCAATTCTTTTAACCTTCCCGAATCTTAATTTTTTATTAATGATATAACAACTACCTTGCAGGGCCATTGTAAAGATTAAGTGATATAACTTATGTAAAGTATCCAGCAAAGATTAAACATGAATTGGTAATTCCTTCTCCTGCTCTAGATGTAGCACACTATAAAAGAATTGTGTGAATGGGGGTATCAGTTTACTGGGCCTTTGAATTCAAAACCAACACCAGAGCTGATCTTACCATATCACTAGCTATCTGAAGGTGGGTGAGAATTTTCTTTACCCAATATAGAAAATCTCATTTTACTGTTTTTCCATCTAAGATAACACTGATAATAAATTGGTTACATTATAAATTATTAAATATAATGTGAATTGTCTTAACTGGTCTTCCCTGTTAAAAACACATGGAAGCTGGAAAAATAATCTCTTGCTAGAGTTAAACACTTTAAATTTTTCCAAGAAGTTTTTTTGTACTCTAATTATACCTGTCATATCATTAGCTTTAAACAATGTATCCATTTTGCCCCATTCACCTGTTTGCTAATATTCTGTAGGAGATTCTGTCATTGGATACTAAGAGTCAAACAGTACTGTCTTCAGTCTGCATTCTAGCATGACTATCAGTCTCCTAGAAAAGGAGATATTGTATCTGGAGCAGGTATTCATAGATACGAATCAAGAAAATTAAAAACAAGATAAAAGATTCAGTTAATCAATCACGTTTACCAGTACTTTTTTCTGGAGAAGTGGATTAAAACATTTCTCCATGTTGGGAAATAAAATGAAGAATAGCAGCATGACTCTTGCTTATTTTACTTTCTTCATCTGAATGAAAACAAATTTTAAAAATCGTGATGACAGAATGACAAGAATTATAATAAAAATTAGTGAGTGATTAATATGTACTAGGGACTTGTGTATTATTATCACAACAGCCATGTGGTCTAGGGAAACACAGTCTTAGAGGGTTAAATAAGTTCATCAAAACCATACTAGGAGTAGATCTAATATTCAAATCCAAGTCTGCTCTTAACCCCTATTTAACATTGCCTGAATATTTACCAGCCTACTCAAGCGGTTTTAAAACTGCAGTGGAAATAAAAGTATAATAAAAATATGGATAGAGTTACCATGCTCAATGGAACAAGCTGACCAGTAAAAATCAATTTACCAAATGCCATTTTGCCTAAGGCTAACTGGTCAAATTACTATTTTATCAAATGGACCATTTGTCAATTTTTCCTAATTTCTAGCAATTTACTAAAAAATATGGTTTGTATTCCAAAACTAAGAATAAGGCCCAATGCAGTGGCTCATGCCTATAATCCCACCCCTTTGGGAAGACAAAGCAGGAGGATCACTTCAGGCCAGGAGTTCAAGACCAGCCTGGGTGGCAGAGTGAGACCCCATCGCTACAAAATAATAATAATAATAATAAAAAGAATAAAAATATATTTTGAGTGTGTGTACTTATGAATATATCCTTCATTAATATATTTTCACTTGAGAATATATTTAAAACCACCCCATATTATTCATGATTACCTTCATTACAAATATGTTGATAAAAAGAATAGCTTTGTAAAAAGACTATTCTGTGCTATGACCCTTAGCTTTGGACTGAATATTCTTTAAAATGCTGCTAAGGAGAATATAGTTATTGAATATATTAATTGCACACATTCAAGACTGTTCCTTAAGACATGCTTTTGGTAATTTGAGAAAATTAGAAAATTTGGCGAGGTGGTCATGCAAACTTTAATGTGAATACAAATTGCCCAGAGTAATCACATAAGTCTTAATGTGCACCATTTGGGGATTTTGTTAAAATGCAGATTCTGAGTCTGTAGGTCAAGGTGGAACCTCAGATTCTGTATTTCTAACAAACTCCCAAGTGATGTTGATGCTGCTTGTTTTGGATCAAATTATGAATAGAATGGATTTACACAGAGTTAGCTTTCAGTGAGTTGATATGGGGTTAACTGAGCTAAAATTGCATACATTACACATATTTCACTTCCTTAACCGCATTGACTTTTGTTTCAGACATCCTGTATAAAGGGGATTTTGCTTGGCTGTTAATATAAGTAAATCTTTAAACTGATACAGATGTAGGTAATGACACAAATGCAAAAAAAATGCTATATTATTGTGTCTGTAATCTAAACAGTTTGAGCAAAGCCATGATACCATCTGCTGTGTCTAACTCTGCCTGAGCTCTCAGCATAAAATATGTCCATAATTTTTGGCAGTTAGAAACATGCATACTTAGAGTTGTTGTATAATGATGGAACTTTAGCAATTCACTCACAATTTGAAGTACCCGTTTTTATTGCATTTAATTATATATACGCATGTCATATTTTTTAAAACTATGTTAGTCAGAAATATTATATATATTATAATTCTTTGACCTAAATTATTTTGATAAAATAAGTAATTATTCATATTAGGAAGAAAATACATATTATCACTTACAGCTGTGGAAAATATTTTATTATACCGACAGAACCACTTTTTGCTTGGAGAAAAGTCTCTTTCAAATATTTACTTTAAATATCCATTAAATATGTTTGGTAACACATTGAATTCCAGGTTTTGTTTGGTGCTATAGGTCTCAACCTAGGCTTTGTCTTGGAATCACATGGGGAGCTTTTAAAAATCCCAACATCCAGGCCACTCCTCAGATTAGCTATGTCTGAATCAGTGGTATATATTTTTAAATCCCTCCAGGTGATACTAATGTACAGCTAGAGTGATGATGCTTTTCTTCCTGGCTTTACATAATTGTCTCTTATTTTTTCATCCTGAATTATATTCCATTATGTAGAAACCCTACTGAAACACAAACTTCCAATTCTTCCTGTTCTTTTGGTTATTTGCATGTAGGACCATCTGCTAAGATGACATAATTCTTGCTTATAAATTGGACTAAAGCATAAATTCCAGACAAAGACATATAAATATATGGGTAACTTTTATAAGCCCATTATTTATTTTGTGACAAAAATGAGTTCCCCTAAGGCAATAATTATGATTTGAACCTTATGTCTTTGACTTGGTGACATGGTTTGGCTGTGTCCCCACCCAAATCTCATCTTGAATTGTAGCTCCCATAATTTTCACATGTCATGGGAGGGACCCAGTGGGAGGTAATTAAATCATAGGGGTGGGGCTTTCCCATGTTGCTCTCGTGATAGTGAATTAAGTCTCACGAAATCCAATGGTTTTATAAAGGGGAGTGTCCCTGCACAAGCTCTCTTCTCTTGTCTGCCACAATGTGAGATGTGCTTTTCACCTTCTGCCATGATTGTGAGGCCTCCACAGTCACGTGGAACTGTGAGTCCATTAAACCTCTTTCTTTTGTAAGTTGCCCAGTCTCAGGTATGTCTTTATCAGAGCGCAAAAGCTGACTAATATACCTGGGTTTATATATGATAGTTGAACACCAAATAAGCCGATGAGTAATGGCAATTTGAACTAGACATGCAAGCAATTCAATTCATTCTAGTTGACAGTATCTTCATGGCATGTAGTTTAATTTTAAAGTGCTGAGTTTGGACACCTATAGACAGTTTTCATTTTTTTTTCCTTAAAGATTATACTGAGTTTCTGAAAATAAATTATACCATAATACTAAGAACTGAAAAACTGTATGAGAAACTGATGTGCTTGTGTATGGGCGTTTAACGATAATGCTATGTGTACGGATATCATTATCTTCTCCTTATTTCTAGGGTATGGATTTCTGCAACCAGGAGAAGAAAATCCTTGAAAGCACAAATTGGGATTATTGATTTTTATCCTCCCCCCAGTGTTTAATATTTGACATAGCATATTAATAAATTTGGCTGATGTACTGGAAGATAATTTGGGGGGAAATTCAAATAGGGTGAATCAGATAGAATAAGGATGCTTTTTTCCAATGGAATTATCTTAATTCAGAAGATTACAAAGCATAAATATTCAGTAAGAAAAAATAAGACCAGTTTGAAAATAGGGAAATCAAGTCAGAAAAGCATTCAATGGCAGATAAATACAAGGAACAACAACAATAAAACCCCAGAAAGTCTGACTCTAAGCACTGTTATTATTACATAATTGAATAAGCCATAGAATGTGTTCTCTATTGGACCAAATACAGATTAGCTCTTGTTTTTTCTGAAAGATCTTTTAACATGCAATGATTAGAGCTAAGATATGACTATGATAATAGTAGCTTAGAGAAGGGAAGGCATGAAGAAAAGAGGCCAAAAAGCATTTTGTAAAAAACATATTTAAGGGAAGAATTATTGACCCTTGAATTAGTGAATTGAGGGTAAACTAGACATTTATCAATAACACTTCATTAAATTTGATTTCATTAATTCACAATTATAAATTGTCAATCAAGGGTTGATACTTCTATGTGTCATTTTTAGCTAGAAAAATAGTTGGAAAAGAAACAGCAGGATGGCATAGAGAGTTTTCAAACCTATCAAAAGTAGTATTGTTTTTATAACAACTATTTTTGTAAATATTTGGATGCTTTTAAACTATTTTACAAAAATATTTTACACAATTATTGTAAAATATTTGTTACCTTTTAAAATTTTGGTACCATTTTAGTACCTTGAAATAAAATTCATATATAGCTTATATAGATGTTTTTAAAAAGCAATAGAATATCCAAATTGTAATATAAAAGAGAAATAAAAGGACAGTAATTTATAAAAAATATATTTTAATAATATGTGTTTTACAACAGGTAATGTGCTTCAGTATGTGTTTATTACATATAATAAATTACATGCAAATATGTAATTTATAATATGTTTCAATATGTGTTCAGGCATGACAGTACTTTAAGACATAATGTCCATTGCTTGCACCTATTATTCTAATCAGTGTGGACGCAAGAACTACAGCTGCAGACTAATACAGGTGAGTTGTATTGTTGACCCAAATACACATGTAGCATTGCCTTTGAGATATGACTTTTCTGAATGGTATACAACCCTTGGTAAAGTTTAGAGCAAAACTAATGAAACAAAATACAATCTTCCTTTAATTTATACAGTGGTTGCAGTTCTAAAAAATTCAGTGCAAATTAACACCTTACAGAGAACACTTTGTGTGACATGGAGTTAGATTCTAGGTATAAACACCTATAAATGGGATTTTCATTTACATGGCTGCATTAAGACATTCGAAATTCATGTGGGGATATCAAACGTTTTTTGTATGTCAGCGTCTTGCTCGTTGTAGGATATCTGTCAACCCAACCCACCAAATGCCAGTACCACCCCCAAATCATTGTCAAAATAAAAAAGTTCCTCTCGAGTTTTCAAAATACTCCTTAGTGGCTTTTCTGACCTTGGTGAGTGTGGGAGTCAACAACAGATGTAGGACATCAATGTTAGTCTTTAGTCAAAATTTGTATTACTTCCAACACTAACATTCTCTGTCCTTGGGCAAGTCACTACATCTTTTTGAGAGAGAGAGAGAGAGAGAGAGAGAGAGGGAGAGAGGAAGAGAGGAAGGAAAGAGACAGAGACATAGGGAGAGAGAGAGTGTGTGTGTGACTATCAATGCAGGAAGAGACTGGAGATGGTATTAATCATATAGCAGCTTCAAGACTTCTTGCTTAGCTGCTAGCTCTTTTGGAAGATCTTTGCCCAGCATTCCTCTGGGGCTCAGGTCTCACTGTTCTCAATTTTGAGAGAGTTACCCTTGATACAGTGTAACATTTTCTTTATTCATGTGACCCTTGTTTTGTTATACCACCCAGTTCTTTGAGAAAATCAAGGCTAGGAAAACTTTCTGTGGTACTCATCCCTTCATACTATTTGATCGCCATACCCTACCCCAAACATTAAGTATTCTTACTGCATGTCCAATTCCAAGTCTCTTTCCCACCTTACAGCTTGGAAGCTGTGGGATGTCAGCACAGGCCATTTGATGAAGCCCTCCAGGTCTAGGCAGGAAGAAAGAATGAAGAGATCATTAAAACTGAGAGCATGTTTCCAAGATCCAGATTATCACTCTCCAAAAGCAACTTGAGACCATAAAACTCCTTCAATCTAGACTGGGGTAATTCTAGTTGCCTTTACTTTTTTCTCTTTATAGTAGTAAACAGAAATAGATGATATTATTTGTTTACAATTGTTCTTTCCCTCTCTGCCTTTACCATGGATTCTCCATGTGTAGAATAGACTTCCCCAATCCAATTGATGTTTGGATTGTTTATATGATTTACTTTGGCCAATGAAATGTGTACACAATTGAGAGTATGACAGTTTTGAGTTAAAAACCTCAAAGAAATATGGAAAGTTTCTGCCAATACTCTTGCAAATCTATACTCTTTCATGAGAAGAATATTAACTGTTGATCAGCTGCTGGTTCCAGAATGAAGAGACATGCAAAATGGACACGCTGTCAATTGTAGCCAGGAGCCAAGCCAGGCAAGCCCACTCAAGTCCATTTGACCAACATCTGACCTGTAGATCTGTGAGAGAGAAATAAATATTGTGGTTGTAAGCCAATGAGAATTGGGGAAGAAGGATCCTTGTAAGGCAGCAGTAATGTAGAAAACCTGAGTAATATAGCAGAATAATTTCATAGTGATGGTCAATACCCAGATGTGCTCCTTGGGAAAGAGGCTCTGATTTGGTGATCCAGTAAAGATACTTATGGTTTTGAGCAGAGGGTGGGGATCAGGTAGTATGAGAATTTGTACCAAGGGTAACTCTTGAGAACAATAATACCTGAGCCACAGAAGAATGTGAGGCAAGAGCCCCCCCAAAGCACTAGCAGCTAAGAAGTCTTGAAGCTGCTATATGATTAAAACTTTTTTCAATCTCTCTCTGCTTCAAAATTATTTCATTCAATGGAATGACTGAAAAAGAGGAACTCCAAAGGAAACAGTTAAGAATAGCAGTAAAATGACACTCCATGTGTCTGAAAACAAATTGAGAACAATCTGAGGGAGATAGAAGCAGTTTACTCTGAATTGTAATGCAGCCCATATTGGAGAGCAGTTTCAAAGTTAATTAGCACTTAGAGACTTGGTAGTGAAGCCTGGACAGTCATATTGGAATGAGGAGCATCATTTACACAGCTGAAGGGAATGCGTGGATTGCCAATTGAAGTTACCATGGAGAACTTCATTAAATTAGGTCTAATGAAGGAATGGGATGAAACATTATCAACTATACCTTCATCAACATTCTAAATTTCATAGGATCATAGACTATTTTCAAACTGGAAGGAACCTTGGGGTTTGGTATAATGCTTTTATTTTTACCAGAAAGTCGAGATACAAAAAGGTTGAGTAGTTCTGCCCAAACTCACAGATAGTAGCAGATTTGAGACTAGACTCCAGGATCCTGAGTCTACTGCCTCCTTTTATCTTTTGTTCTTTGTCTTTTTTATTCTAAATTTCAATCACTAAATAAAATTATCCTAGGAAAAAAGTAAAATATAAAGAAAAAAATTCTCTTGAAATTGCTACCTAATCTATACATTGAAAGTTTGATATTTTTTCCAAAAGAATATGGGCAGTTGATTTAGACCCTTAGCTTCTTTACTTTCTACTGACAAGGTATTTGAAGATATTTTTCTTTCTGCTATTATTATTTGGAAATTTTAATACTTCAAAACCTTATGTACATTTCATTTCATATAGGAGATGCTGATAAAATACAAGTGGCACCATGAGAGGCTTTTTAAAAATGCTAAGGACATATACCAACGAAAATATAGGTCCCTGTTTGAGAATTAAGAATGCCTATATTACTTCCTGCTTGTTCTCAGTGAGTTTAGATTCACATGCAGTTGTAAGAATAGTACAGAGAGAGCCAGTGTACCCTTTAACTTGGTTTCTCCAAATGGTAACATCTTGCAAACCTGTCATACAATGTCACAAAGGATATTGACATTGATACAATCCACCACCAATCTAGGTAAGAATTTTCCAGTTTTACCTATATTTGTGTGTGTGTGTGGGTGTGGGTGTGGGTGTATTGAATTCTATATAATGTGCTCATGTATCCACTACTTAAGTTGAGAAATAGAACAGTTCTATCATCATAAAAATCCCTTGTGTTGCCCACCTCCCTCCCTCCTCATCCCTGTCCTGGTCCCTGACCACTGGTAACCACTAATCTGTTCTCCATTTCTATAATTTTGTCATTTCAAAATGTTATAATGGAATTATATAGTATTTAAATTTTGGGGATTGGCTTTTTTCACTCAGCATAATTCCCTAGGAATGTATCCAAGCTGTCTTGTGTATCAGTAGTTTGTTCTATTTTATTGCTGAGTAGTGTTACGTTGTATGGATACACTATAGATTGTTTAATCATTCACCCATTGAAAGACTTCTGGGATGTTTTCAGTTATTGGCTATATGAATAAAGCTTGTATGAACAGTAGTGCACAGGTATTAGTATGAAAAAAAAGTTTTATTTTTCTGAAATAAATGCCCAAGAGTGAAATTGTGTTATATGGTAATCACATGTTTAGTTTTAAAAGAAATTGCCAAACTGTTTTCCAGAGTGGCTGTACCATTTTACCAGCAATACGAGTAATCTACTTTCTCCACATCCTCACTAGCATTTGATGTTGTCACTATATTTTTATTTCAGCTGTTCTGATAGGTATATAGTAATATCGCGTTATGGTTTCAATTTGCATTTCCCTGATAGTTAATGATATTGAATTACCTTTCATGTATTAGATGTGATGTGGTTTACTAAGTCTCTGGAAACATTTATCAAGTTTCTTCTTTTGTGCATTGTGCTTTTGGTATCAAGTATAAGAACTCTTTGCCTAGCTTTAGAACCTGAAGATTTTCTCATAATTTTTTCTAAAAGTTTCGTAGTTTTATGTTTTACATTTAAGCACAGTATCCATTTTGAGTTTTTTTTGTATAATTTGTGAGAATTAAGTCAAGGGTTTTTTTTTCCCATTTGTGTCCAATTGCTTCAGTACTATCCATTGAAAAGGCTGTTCTTCCTTCTTTGATTTGGTTTGCATGTACACCTTTGTCAAAAATTAAACATATTATTTTGGGTCTTTTTCTAAGTTCTCTATTCTGTTCCATTGATATATGTGTCTATCCCTTTGCCCATACAACATTGTCTTCATTATGTAGCTATAAGTAAGTCTGAATATTGAGTAGAGTGATTCTTCCCATTTTATTCTTCTTTTTCAAGATTGTTTTATATATTCTATGGACTGTGCCTTTTCATACCAATTTTAGAACACTACTATTGTTGATATCTACAAAAATATTATTGGGTTTTTGATAGGAATTACATTAATAAATTGGGGGAAATTTGACATCTTTGCAATGTTGACTCCTCTAATACACGAGCATGAGATATCTCTTCATTTATGTAGGTCGCTTTTGATTATTTTCATCACCATTTTGAAATCTTCAGTATACATACCCTGTACATATTTTGGTAAACATATACCTAAGTATTCGATTTTCTTGGGAGTGATTGTAGATTGTATCATGTTTTTAATTTTGATTTTCTTATGTTCATTTTTAGTATATAAAAATGAGATTGATTTTTGTGTGTTAATATTGTGCCCTGTGACCTTGCCAAACTCACTTATTAGTTTTAGCATTTTTTTGAGATTCCTCATGATTTCTTTTATTCTCCTCATGATCTCTGACATAGATAATCATGTCATCTACAAATAGGACTACTTCTATTTTCTCATTTAAAAAAACTGAATGTCATTTATGTCCTTTTCTTGACTTATTACAGTGGCCCTAACTTCAAGCACTATTTTGAAAAAAAGTGATGTGCATGGCTATTCTCCCATTGTTATCAATTTTAGGAAAAAAAACATTCAGTCTTTCTTCATGAAGTATGACGTTAACTGTAGGGTTTTTTAAAAATAAATACTCTTTATCAAGTTTGGGCAATGCCCTTCTATTTTTAACTTGATAAGAGTTTTTCAAAAATCATGAATGACTATTGGATTTTTCCAAATACTTTTTCCATGTTAATTGACTTAATCATATGACTTCTCTTCTTTAGTCTGTTTATATAGTGGATTACTTTGATTGATTTTGAAGTGTTAAACCAGTCTTACATACCTGGAATAAATCCTACCTGGTCATGTTATGTAAATTTTTAATACATTTTTAAATTAAATTTGTTAATTTTTTTTGAGAATTTTATATCTAAATTTATGGGAGATGTTCTTCTGCAATTTTTATAGTTATTTGTATTATTTATTTTGGTATAAGGGTAATACTGGCTTTATATAGTGAGTTAAGAAGTATTCCTTCCTCTGCCTTCATCTAGAAGAGACTGTGTAAAATTGGTGTTAATTCTTCCTTAATGTTTTGCAGAATGCTTCTGTGCAACTATCTAGGCTTAGAGTTTTCTTTTTCAGAGCTTTTAAATTACATATTAAATTTTGTTAATAGTTATGGGATAATTCAGATTATCTATTTCATCCTGCTTAAGTTTTGGTAGAAAGTGGCCATTTTCCTTCTAATTGTCGTATTTATAAGCATAAAGTTGTTAATATTTGTATTAATTTCCTAAGGCTCATGTAATAAGTACTACAAACTGGATAACTTAGAACAGAAATTTCTGTGGGATTAGTTGTGATACCACCTTTGTTATTTCTGATTGCACTTATTTATATTCTCTCCCTCTTTGTCTTTGCTAATCCTGTTAGTGGTCTCTCAATCTTGTTAATACTTTCAAAGATCCAATTTTTCATTTCATTGATTTTTATATATATTTTTGGTCCTCAATTTCATTTAGCTCTGCACTTATTTCAGTTATTTCTTCTGATAACTTTGAATTTAGTTTATTGTTGTTTTTCTAGTTCTTTTTAGGTGCAAGTTTAGTTTATTAATTTGAGATTTTTCTATGTTTTTGATCTAGGTGTTTAGTGCTAAAACATTCCTCTTAACACTACTTTTGCCATATCCCAGAGGTTTTGGTATGTTGTGTTTTTATTTTCATTTGTTTCAAAGACTGTTTTGATTTCTGCCTTAATTTCAGTGTTTACCCATTTAGGAATAAATTGTTTACTTTCCATGTATTCGTGTGGTTTTGACAGTTCCTCTTGGTTTGATTTATATTTTTATTTCATTGTGGTCCAAGAATATACTTGGTATTATTTTGATTTTTTAAATTTATTGAGAGTTGCTTTATGACTGAGCATGTGGTCAATCTTCAAGTATGTTCCGTGTGTGGATGTGAAGAATGTACATTCTGTGGTTGTTGGATGGAGTACTCTGCAGATGGCTCAGGTGGTCAAGTGTCGAATTTATGTCCAGAAATTCTTTGTTAGTTTCTGCCTTGATGATCTGTCTAATGCTGTCAGTGAGGTGTTAAAATCTCCCACTATTATTGTGTGGCTGTTAATATTTTCTTAGGTCTAGAAGTAATGGTTTTATGAATCTGGGTGCTCCAATGTTGAGTGCATATATTTTTAGAATAGTTAAATCTTCTTGTTGAATTGAATCCTTTATCATTATGCAATGCCTTTCTTTGTCCTTTTTTAACTGTTGTAAGTTTAAGGTTTATTTTATCTGATACAAGAATAGCAACATCTGCTCTTTTTTGTTATCTCTTTTCATAGTAGATCTTTCTCCATTTCTTTACTTTGAACACATGGGTGTCATTACCTGTGAGATGGATCTCTTGCAGATAGCAGAAGGATGAGTCTTGTTCTCGTTTTTTAATCCAATTTTAAGTGGGGTATTTAGGCTGTTTCTGTTCAAGGTTAATATTGATATGTGAGATATTATCCTGGTAATAATGTTATTAGATAGTTGCTGTGTAGTCATGAATATTTAGTTGATTTATAGGGTCCATGCACTAAGTACTTGTGTGTGCTTTTGTGTGGTAGCAAGTATTATTCTTTCTAGAGGAAATGAATAAATTCCTGGAAACACTCAACCTCCTAAGATTGAACTAGGAAGAAATAGAAATCCTGAACAGACCAATAATGAGTATCAAGATTGAATCAGTCATAAAAAAAAAACCTACCAACCAAAAAAGTCCTGGATCAGATGAATTCACAGCTGAATTGTTGCAGAGATACAAAGAAGAGCTGGTACCAATTCTACTGAAACTATTCCAAAATATCAAGGAGGAACACCTCCCTAACTCATTCTATGAAACCAGTATCATCCTGATGCCAAAATCTGGCAAAGACACAACAAGAACTACAGACCAATAACGCTGATAAACATAGACACAAGAATCCTTAACAAAATACTAGCAAATTGAATCCAGAAGCATATCAAAATAGATATGAACAAGTGGGCTTTATTCCTGGGATGCAAGGATGGTTCAACATATGCAAATCGATAAATGTGATTCACCACATCAACAGAATTAAAAACAAAAACTTATTGATCATCTCAATAGATGTAGAAATAGCATTTGATAAAATCTAATGTTCCTTCATGATAAAAACCCTCAACAAACTAGGCATCAAAGAAACATACCTAAAAATAATAAGAGCCATCTACAACAAACACACAGCCAACACCATACTGAACAGGAAAAAGCTGGAAGCATTCCCTTTAAAAACTGGAACAAGACAAAGATGTTCACTCTCACCACTCCTATTCAACATAATACTGGAAGTCCCAGCCAGAGCAGAGCAATCAGGCAAGAGAAATAAATAAAAAGCATCCAAATGGGAAAAGAGGAAGTCAAATTATCTTTCTTCGCTGGTGGTATAATTCTATACATAGGACACCATAAAGATTCTGCCAACAGTCTCTTAGACCTGGTAAATGACTTCAGCAAAGTCTCAGAATACAAAATCAGTGTAAAAAAAAAAAGTACCATTTCTATACACCAATAATGGTCTAGCCAAGAACCAAATCAGGAATACATTCCATTTGCAATAGTCACACAAAAAATAAAAAGCCTAGGAATATGCCTAACCAAGGAAAAAGATCTTTATGAGGAGAACTACAAAACACTGCTCAAAGAAATCAGAAATGACACAGATGGAAAAGCATTCCATGCTCATGAGTTGGAAGAATCAATGTTTTTAAAATGCCCATACTACCCAATGCAATCTACAGATTTGATGCTATTCCTATCAAAGTAGCATCATTTTTCAATGAATTGGAAAAAACTATTCTGAAATTCATATGCAACCAAAAAAGAGCCCAAATAGACAAGCTAATCCTAAGCAAAAAGAACAAAACCAGAGGTATCATATTACCTGACTTCAAACTATACTACAAGGATATGGCAACTAAAACAGCATGGTACTGTACAAAAATAGACACGTAAACCAATGAAACAGAAAAAGACCCCTGAAACAAAGCCACATACCTACCACCACCTCATTTTTGACAAAGTCAACAAAAATAAACAATGGGGAAAGGGTACAATTTTCAATAAATGATTCTGGGAAAATTGGCTAATCATATGCAGAAGAATGAAACCGGACCCCTATATTTCACCATATACAAAAATTAATTCAAGATGGAATAAAAGCTTAAATATAAGACCTCAAGCTATAAAATTTCTAGAAGAAAACCTATAAAATACTCTTCTAGACATTGGCCTAGGCAAAAGATTCATGATGAAGTCTTCAAAACCAAATGCAACAAAATAAAAAATAAACAATTGAAACTTAAACTAAAGAGCTACTGCATAGCAAAAGAAACTCTCAAACAAACAAACAGATGACCCACAGAATGGAAGAAAATCTTTGCAAACTATGCATCTGACAAAGGACTAATATCCAGAATCTATAAGGAACTTAAATGAATCAATAAGAAAAAAATAAATAACCTAATTTAAAAGTGGGCAAAGGACATGAATAGACACTTCTCAAAAGAAGACATACAAGTGGCCAACAAAGACATGAAAAAAATTGCTCAACATCACTAATCATCAGAGAGATGCAAATCAAAACCATAATGAGATACCACCTCACACCAGTCAGAATGGCTATTATTAAAAAGTCAAAAAATAGTAGATGTTGAGGTTGTGGAGAAAAGAGAATGCTCATACACTGTTGATGGGAATGCAAATTAGTTCAGCCCATGTGGAAAGCACTTTGGAGATTTCTCAAAGAACTGGAAACAGAACGACCATTTGACCCAGCAATGCTATTACTGGGTACATACCCAAAGGAAAATAAATCATTCTACCAAAAAGATGCATGCATTTGTATGTTTATGGCAGCACTATTCACAATAGCAAAGACATGGAATCAATTTGAGTGCCCATCCTTGGTGGAGCAGATAAAAAAAATGTGGTACATATACAACATGGAACGAAGCCATAAAAATGAATGAAATTATGCCCTTTGCACCAACACTGAGGCAGCTGGAGGCAGTTACCCTAAGCAAATTAGCACAGACACCGAAAACCAAATAACACATGTTCTCACTTATGAGTGGGAGCTAAATCGTGGTTTCAAATGGACATAAAGATGAGAATAGACACTGGAGACTCTAAAACGAGGAAGGAAGGGAGAGGGGCAGAGTCTGAAAAAGTTCCTATTGGGTATTATGTTCACTATATGGATGATAGGATCAACAGAAGCCCAAACCTCAGCACCACACAATATACTCTTGTAACCAAACATGCACATGTACCCCCTGAATCTAAAATAAAAATGGAAATTAAAAAAAAAAGAAAAACAGATATTTACTGTCTCCTACTAGAGGCTAGAATTCCAGAATCAAGGCATCAGCAGGCCACACTCCCTCTGGAACCTATAGGGGAAGTATCATTCCATGCCTTTCAGTTTCTAGTAACCCTAGATATTCCTTGGCTTGTGGCAGCATAATTCCAATATATGCTTCCATCTTCACATGGCATTCTCCCTGTGTCTCTTCACATTGTCTTCTCTCTATACATGTCTGTCCCTGTATCCAATTTTCTCCTTTTTATCAGGACACCAGTCATATTGGATTAGAGCTAACTCTAAAGGCCTCATTCTAACTTGACTACCAGTATAAATACCCTATTTCCAAATAAGGTACCATCTTGAGGTACTAGGGGTTAGGACTTAGACATGTCTTTTAGTGGGGAGAAACAATTCAATTCATAACCCTATTATTTCCTTTTTATCATTCTGATGGCTTCAAATTCTCTAGTGAGATCCTGTTTCATTCCTAATATTGGTGATTGTGTCCTCTTTTAAAAATTTTGTCTGTCTTGCCAGAGCTTATTTTATTGATTTTTTTCCCAAAGAACAAGCTTTTTATTTTATTGATTTTCTCTATTGTTTAATATTTTCAATTTCATTAATTTTTGCTCTTTATTATTTAATTCCTTCTGCTTGCTTTGCGTTTAGTTTGCTCTTTTTTTCTAGTTTTTTTTTTTGCAGTAGGAATTTGGATTAATTGATTTTCTACCTTTTCTAATTTCTAATACAGTCATTTGTTGTTTAATGAAGGGATGCGTTCTGTGAAATGCATTGTTAGGCAATTTCCTTGTTGTGCAAACATAATAGAGTATACTTACACAAACCTAAATGGTATAGCCTACTACAAAACTAGGGTACAAACCTGCACAGCCTATTGCTGTACTGAATACTATAGGCAATTGTAACACAATGCTAAGTATTTGTGTATCAAATATATCTAAACATTAAATAGTACAGTAAAAATATATTAGGTTAATATATTCAAACTGTACTACCTAAGGGTATGCTAACAGTATAAAAGATACAAAATGGTGTACCTGTATGGTACACTGACCATAAATGGAGCTTGCAGGACTGGAAGTTGCTCTGGGTGAGTCAGTGAGTAGTGAGTGAATATGAAGGCCTAGGATATTACTGTACACTACCTAGACTTTATAAACATTGTACAATTAGGCTACACTAAATTTATAAAAGATATTTTTTATTCTTCATAATAAATTAACCTTAGCTTACTATAACCTTATTAATTTATAAGCATTTAAAATCTTTTTAACTTTTGACTCTTTTGTAATAATGCTTAATTTAAAACACAAACACACTGTAGAGCTGTACAAAAATATTTACTTTAAAAAACATTATTATTTTTAATTTTTGTTGTTACATAGTTGGTATGTGTATTTCTGGAGTATATGAAATATTTTTATATAGGCATGCAGTGTATAATAATCACATCAGCATAAATAGTGTATCCATCGCCTCAAGCATTTACTGTGTTACAAAAAATCCAATGATACTCTTTTAGTTATTTAAAAATGTACAATTAAATTATTATTGACTATAGTCACCCTGCTGGGCTATCAAATACTAGGTCTTATTCATTCATTTGAACTACTTTTATACCCATTAACTATCCCCTCTTATGCCCCATGCACCCACTATCTTTCCCAGCCTCTGGTAACCATTTTTCTACATTCAATCTCCATGAGTTCAATTGTTTTGAATTTAGGTCCCACAAATAACTGAGAACATGTGAAGTTTCTCTTTCTGTGCATGGCTTATTTCACTTAACAAATGGCCTGTAGTTCCATCCATGCTGTTGAAAATGACTGGATCTCATTCATTTTTATGGCTGAGTAGTATTCCATTGTGTAGATTTGCCACAATTTCTTTATCCATCCTTCTGTTGATGGACACTTAGGTTGCTTCCAAATCATAGCTTGTTATTTTTTGTGTATTTTATGTATTTTTTTAATTTTAGGTTACCATGAGGCTTGCATATACTATTTTATTTTAAACTCATTATTTTAAACTGATGACAAGTTAACACTAATTACATAAACAAAGAAACAAGCCAAAAGTGAACTGATACAAACTCTACACTTTAACTTCATTGCCCTACTTTTTAACTTTTTGCTGTTAATATTTATATCTTATTGTGCTATGTCTTGAAAGGTTTTTGTACTTATTATTTTTATTGGCTCAGCTTTTACTGTTTCTACTTAAGAGTAGTTTACACACCACAAACACAGTGTTATAATATTCCGTGTTTTTCTGTGTACTTACTGTTACCAGTGAGTTTTGTACCTTCAGGTGATTTCTTATTCCTTATTAACATCTTTTTCTTTCTGATTAAAGAACTCCCTTTAGCATTTCTTGTAGGATAGGTCTAATATTGATGAAATACCTTAGTTTTTGTTTGTCTGAAAAGTCTTTATTTCTCCTTCATGTTTGAATGATATTTTCTCTGGATATACTAATCTAAAAGTTTTTTTCCTTCAGCACTTTAAATGTATCATGCCACTCTCCTCACCTTTAAAGTTTCCACTGGGAAGTCTGCTGCCAGGAATACTGGAGCTCCATTGTATGTTATTTGTTTCTTTTCTCTTGCTGCTTTTGGGATCCTTCCTTTATCCTTGATCTCTTGGAGTTTGATTATCAAATGCCTTGAGGTAGTCTTCTTTGGGTTAAATCTGCTTGGTGTTCTGTAACCTTCTTGTACTTGAATATTGATATCTTTCTCTAGCTTTGGGAAGTCTTTGTTATTATTCATTTGAATAACCTATCTATCCCATCTCTTTCTCTACCTCATCTTTAAGGCCAATAACTCTTAGATTTGCTCTTTTAAGGTTATTTTCTAGATCTTCTAGGCATGCTTCATTCTTTCCCGGTCATTTTCTTTTGTCTCCTCTGTGTATTTTCAAGTAGCCTGTTTTCAAGGTCACCAATTGTTTCTTCTGCTTGATGAGTTATTCTATTAAGAGACACTAATGTATTCTTTGCTATGTTAATTGCATTTTTCAATTCCAGAATTTCTGCTTGCTGCTTTTAAAATATTTCAATCTTTGTTAAATTGATCTGATAGGATTCTGAATTCCTTCTCTGTATTATCTTGAATTTCTTTGTGTTTCCTCAAAACAGCTATTTTGAATTCTCTGTCTGAAAATTAACATATCTCTGTTTCTCCAGGATTGGTCCCTGGTGCCTTAGTTTGTTTAATGAGGACATATTTTCCTGCATGGTCTTAATGCCTGCAGATTTTTGTTGGTGTCTGGGCATTGAAGAGTTAGGAATTTATTTTATTTTAAATTTTATTTTATTTTATTTAAATAGTTTTCGGAGAACAGGTGGTTTTTGGTTATATGCATAAGTTCTTTAGTGGTGATTTCTGAAATTTTGGTGTGCCTGTCACCTGAGCAGTGCACACTTAGGTATTTATTTTAGACTTCACAGTCTGGGCTGTTTTGTACCTGTTTGTCTTAGGAAGGCTTTCCAGGTATTGGAAGGGTCTTGGGTATTGTAATCTTAGCCATATCTGCATTATGGGGCATCCCAAGCCCAGTAACACTGTGGTTCCTGCAGACCTGTAGAGGTACCACCTTGGTGGTCTTGAATAAGATCTGGAATAACTCTTTGGATTACCAGGCACAGATTTTTTTTTTATTACATTCTCCCAGATAGAATCTCTATCTCTTCGCTGAGCCACCTGGAGCTGGGGAAGGGGTGACAGAAGCACCCTGGTGGCCACCACCACTGGGACTGTCCCTGATTCAGAACTGGTATAGCACTGTGTCTTGGCCCAGGCCGGGTGTAACCACTAGCTGACTAGTGCCTATGTTTACTCAAAGCCCAAGAGCTCTACAATCAGCAGGTGTTAAAAAGCCAGTTTTGCTTTTTTCCTGCCCTTTAGGGCAGTGAGTTCCCCCAGGCCATGGATTTGTCCAGAGATGCCTTCAGGGAGGCAGGGTCTGGAGTAAACAACCATGTATAAACCTACCTGGTGTTCTATTCTACTATGGCTATGCTGGCACTCAAACCACAAAATAATGTCCTTCCCACTCCTCCTTCCCCTTTCTCTAGGCAAAGGACCCTCTCCCCATGGCCACCACCACCACAGACTCATAGGGAGTACTGCCAGACTACCTCCAATAATCCCTTGAGGCCCAATGGCTCTTCAATCAGCTTATGGTGAATATTGCCAGGCCTGGGACTCAACCTTCAGGGCAGTGCATTCCCCTCTGGCCCGGGATAGTTCCAGAGATGTCATCTAAGGGCCAAAGCCTGGAATCAGGGACCTCAAGATCTTGTTTTTTGCTCTAGCTTTCTGTGGCTGAGCTGGGACCTAAGGTGCAAGACAAAGTCCCCTTTACTTTGTCCTCTGCTTTTCTCAAGCAGAACTAATCTCTTACTATAGTCACCACATCTAGGAATGTGCTGAGTCTCACCTGAAACCAATAAGTATCAGAGTCTCACCCAAGGCCAATGATTTGCTACCTGGGTATCACTACTGATTATTCACGAACCAATGGCTCTTTAGTCAGCAGATGATGAATCTTGTCAGGACTGGATACTTCCCTTGAAGGTGGCAGATTCCCTTCTGCCCCAGGGTGTTTCTAGAAATGTCATCTGGGAGCTAAGACCTGGAACTGGGGCCTGATAACACTACCAGGTGCCCTATCTTACTGTGCCTGAGCTGATAACTGAGCTATAAGACAAATTCCTTTTTACTTCTCCCTCTCTGTTAATTTTCAGAAGGAAGGAATCACTTATGTTGCTGGAAACTGCTTTGCTTGGTTTTGGAGGAGGGATGGCAGAAGCACTCCCTTAGCTGCCCCACCTGGTGTCTCACTAGGTCACATGCCTCCCAAGTCCACTGGTTCCTAGCCCAGCACAGGACTAGGAGTGCTGGATTATCAGGCACAGACTCTTGTTCTCTTCCCTTACTTTCTCCCAAACCGAAGGGATCTCTCTCTCTCTCTTTGCTGAGCCACCTGGAGCTAGGGGAGGGGTGACACAAGCACCATTGTGGCCACCACCACTGGAACTGTCCTGGGTCAGAACTGAAGGTGATACAGCACTGGGTCTCGTCCAGTGCCTGCTGTAACCACTACCTGGCCTAGGAGTTTTAATCTCTGTGACCCAGACTGCCTTTCACATTTATTTATGACCCTGTAGCACCCTAGCCCATGGTGACAAGGCTTGCCAAAATTCAAGTTCTCATCCCTGGGATGGGCAATTCCCTTCTGGCTAGGGCTTTTCTAAATGCTCCTCCATGGGCATCAATGAGTTCAGCCTGTTTTTGCTTTCTGCTCTGATAGGGCAGCGCTGAGTTCCAATGCAAACTCCCACAGTCACTATGTTCTCCCTCCCTCCTCCTAGCACACAGATTCTTTACCTGCGCCATGCAGCTGTTACTGGTTGATGGGTGAGGGGTGGCATTGGCACCTCAAGACTGTCTTTCTGACCCACTTCAGTGCCTCTTTCACTGATACGAAGTTAAAATCAGGTACTGTAATTGCTCACCTGATTTTTGGTTATTATGCAGGTGCTTTTTGGTGTAGATAGTTGTTAAATAATTCGGTGTTCCTGCATGGGGAATGATCAGTGGAGGCTTCTAATTCGGCCACCTTTCTCTGTCCCCACCTCCCCAAAATATTTTATTTTCATCCCTGTTTTATGAGTTTTTTCTAATTAAAATTTTTTTTTATCTTTTTACTTTTAAAAGGTTTTCGTTAAAAACCAAGACACAAACACACACATTATCCTAAGCCTATGCAGGACCACGATAATCAACATCACTGTCTTCCCTCTCCAGATCTTGTCCAACTGCAAGATTTTCAGGGGTGGTAACACGCATGGAGCTGTCATCTCATATGACAACAATGCTTTTTTGTGAAATACCTCTGAAGGACCTGCTGATGGTGCTTTACAGTTAACATTTTTATGTAAGTAGGAGTACACTCTAAAATTGCAATTAAAAGTCCAGTATAGTAAATAAATAAACCAGGAACATAGCATTTACAATCATTTTTAGGTATCATGTATTGTACATAGTTGTATGTGCTATGTATTTATACATCTAGCAGTGCAGAAGTTTTGTTTATACCAGCATCACCACAAACACATGAGTAATGCATTCTGCTATGTATTATAATAGCTAAAATGTCACTAGATGATAGGAATTTGTCAGATCCATTATAAAACTATGATACCATGATTGTATATGTGGTCCATCATTGACTGAAGTATCATTATGTGGTGCATGACTGTATAAGCATTTAATACTATGAATTTCCCTCTCAATACTACTTTAGCCACATCTGACATACTTAGACATGTTGTATTTTAATTTTCATCAAGTTTTATTTATTTTTAAATTTCCTTTTTGTTTTCCTCTTGGACCTATGGATTATTTAAAATTGTGATATTTAGTGTCTATGAGTTTGAATATTTTCCTGTTGCCTTTCTGGTGTTGATACATAGTTTGATTCTGTTATGGTAGGAGAACAGTCTATATGATTTTACTTATTTTAAGTTTATTTAAGTTTTTTAATGACCTGGAATATAATCTGTCTGATGAATTATTCCATTGGTGTTTAAAAAATTGTGTATTCTGCTGGTTTTCAGTGAACCATTACATAGATGTGTATATATATATATATATATATATATATATATATATATATATATATATACATACACACATATATGGTCTTGTTGGCTAAATGTATTATACAGATTTCATGTATACTTGCTGATTTTCTGTCTACTAGTTCAATCTATTGCTGAGAGGGGAATAATGACATGCACATCTAAAATTTTGGATTTATTTTTCCTTTCAGTTACATCAATTTTTGCTGTATCATTTTTTGCTTTTTATTATGAGGCTCTATTTTTGATATGTACATATTTAGGATTACTGTGTCTTCTTGGTGTATTAATCCTTCTGTCATTATGTAACATTTCTATTTGTCTCTCGTAGTTTTATTTGTTCTGAAGTCTACTTTATCTGATATCAATATAGCTACTTCAGCTTGTTTTTGATGTTTGTATGGGTTATCTTTCCCATCATTTTACTTCCAACCCACATATGTTGAATTTGTAGTTAGTTGCTTGTAAACAAAATGGAGTTGGGTTATGCTTTTCTTTAACTTTTATTTTAGGTTCAGGGGTATACATGCAGGTTTGTCATGTAGGTAACTTGTGTGTCATGGGGGTATGGTATACAGATTATTTTGTCATACAGGTAATAAGCGTAGTACCCAATAGGTAGCTTTTCAGTGCTCTCCATCCTCCCACCCTACCCCCTCAAGTAGGCCCTGGTGCCTGTTGTTCCTTTATTTGTGTCCATATGTATGCAAAATTTAATTCCCATTTGTAAGTGAGAAGATACAGTATTTGCTTTTCTGTTCCTGTGTTAATTCACTTGGGATAATGGCCTCCAACTCCATCCATGTTGCTTCAGATAATATGATCTCGTTCCTTTATATGGCTGCATAGTATTCTGTGGTGCATATATACCACATTTTCTTTATTCCATGTCTTTGCTATTAGGAACAATGCTGCAATGAACATATGTGTGCATGTGTCTTTGTGTTAGAATAATTTATATAAAATATATACTCAATAATGGGGCATCTGTATTAAATGTGATATACCACATAAAAAGAATTAAAAACAAAAATCATATGATTATCTCAACAGATGCAGAAAAAGCATTCTACAAAATCCAGCATCCCTTTATGATTAAAACTCTCAACAAAATCAGCATACAATGGACATACCTTAATGTAATAAAGCCATCTCTGACAAACCCACAGACAACATAATACTGAATGGGGAAAAATTGAAAGCATTCCCTCTGAGAACTGGGACAAGACAAGGAAGCTCACTCTCACCACTCCTCTTCAACATAGTACTGGAAGTCCTAGCCAGAGCAATCAGAAAAAAAGAGAGAAAGAAAGGGCACCCAAACTGGTAAAGAGGAAGTCAAACTGTCCCTGTTTGCTGATGATATGATCTTTTACCTTGAAAACCCTAAGGACTCCTCCAGAAAGCTCCTGGAACTGATAAAATAATTCAGCAAAGTTTCTGGATACAAGATTAATGTACACAAATCAGTATCTCTTCTGTAAACTAGCAGCGAGCAAGCAGAGAATTAAATCAAGAACTCAACCCCTTTTACAATAGCCGCAAAAAAATGAAATAAAATACTTAGGAATATACCTGACCAAGGAGGTGAAAGACCTCTACAAGGAAAACTACAAAACACTGCTGAAAGAAATCACAGATGACACAAACAAAATGAAACACATCCCATGCTCATGGATGGGTAGAATCAATATTGTGAAAATGACCATATTGCCACAAGCAATCTACAAATTCATGCAATCTCCATCAAAATACCACCATGATTCTTCACAGAATTAGAAAAAACAATTCTAAAATTCATATGGAACCAAAAAAGAGCCCGCATAGCCAAAGCAAGACTAAGCAAAAAGAACAAATCTGGAGGCATCACACTACCTGATTTCAAACTATACTATAAGGCCGTAGTCAACAAAACAGTGTGATACTGGTATAAAAATAGGCATATAGACCAATGGAACAGAATAGGGAACCCACAAATAAACTCAAATACTTACAGCCAACTGATCTTCGACAAAGCAAACAAAAACATGAAGTGGGGAAAGAACATCCTTTTCAACAAATGGTGCTGGGGTAATTGGCTAGCTACAGTAGAAGAATGAAACTGTATCTTCATCTCTCACCTTATACAAAAATCAACTCAACTTGGATTAAGGACTTAAACCTAAGACCTGAAACTATAAAAATTCTAGAAGATAGCATTGGAAAAACCCTTCTAGACATTAGCTTAGGCAAGGATTTTATGACCAAGAATTCAAAAGCAAATGCAACAAAAACAAAGATAAGTAGCTGGGACCTAATGAAACTAAAGAACTTTTGCACGGCAAAAGGGAACAGTCAGCAGAATAAGCAGACAACCCACAGAGAGGGAGAAAATCTTCACAATCAATACATCTGGCAAAGGACTAATATCCAGAATCTACAATGAACTCAAACAAATCAGTAAGAAAAAAGCAAACAATCCCATCAAAAAGTGGGCTAAGGACATGAATAGACAATTCTTAAAAGATACCCAAATGGCCATCAAACATATGAAAAAACGCTCAACATCACTAACAATCAGGAAAATGCAAATCAAAACCACAATGTGATACCACCTTACTCCTGCAAGAACGGCCATAATCAAAAAATCAAAAAACAGTAGATGTTGGCATGGATGCAGTGATCAGGGAACACTTCTACACTGCTGGTGGGAAAGTAAACTAGTACAGCCACTATGGAAAACAGTGTGGAGCTTCCTTAAAGAACTAAAAGTAGAACTACCATTTGATCCAGCAGTCCCACTACTGGGTATCTACCCAGAGGAAAAGAAGTCATTATTCGAACAAGATACTTGCACACTCATGTTTATGGCAGCACAATTCACAGTTGCAAAATCATGGAACCAACCCAAATGCCCATCAATCAATGAGTGAATAAAGACACTGTGGTATATATATGCAATGGAATACTACTCAGCCATAAAAAGGAATGAATTAACAGCATTTGCAGTGACCTTGATAAGATAGGAGACTATTATTCTAAGTGAAGCAACTCAGGAATGGGAAACCAAACATCGTTTGTTCTCACTGACATGTGGGAGCTAAAGTATGAGGATGCAAAGACATAAGAATGATGCAATGGACCTTGAGGACTTGCGGGCAAGAGTAGGAGGGAGGCAAGGGATAAAAGCCTACAAATGTGGTGCAGTGTATACTGCTTGGTTGATGGGCACACCAAAATCTCACAAATCACCACCAAAGAACTTACTTATGTAACCAAATACCACCTATACCCTAATAACTTATGGAAAAATTTTTAAAAAGAAAAAAGAATTACAGAGTTTATATTTAGCTAAAGTTCACAAAAAAATGTCTTACTTTACTTTTCAGAGGTTTAGCTAAGTGACAAATGTAACAAGAGAACAACTGACTCAAGGCTATCACTCAATTATATGTTTTGGATTCCTTATTTTATACTGTCAATGTAAGTATTGATTTGCCTTTTAATGCATATTATTATAGATACTAATATACTAATATTTAAAGACTGTATTTTGCCTTTCTTGATTCCCTCTAGGTTAGATCTGTTGTCTTACTGTGCATGTGGTACTATGCAAACATGTCTCCAATCTTCTATCTCTCCTTGCATCCACAGCTTTTCTACAATTACTTTGCTGCTCCTTCCATTAAGAGGTGGAGCCTATATCCTTTCCCATTAAATATGGGTTGGCCTTGTGACTTGCTTTGGCCAATAGGATGCATTGGGAGTGACAGTGGGTCAGTTTCAAGCTTAGGTCTCAAGAAGCCTTATGCACTTCTTCTTTTGCTTCTCTAGGCTGCTGGAGGATGAACAAGCACGGGAAGCAGAAATAAGTGTTTTCTGCTAGGCTCTCATAGACTATGCATCCCCCAGCTGGCCTGCCAGTTTACTGCATGCCTATCTTATTTTCTATACATAGGCTTTTGGAGGGTTACGACCATGTATTTGTATCTTCTTTAAGTTTGGGAAAGTGTCAACTGCATAATAAGCAATCAGCAAATGCTAATAGAAAGGATAAATAAGCAAATGGTCAACACTGAAGAAATCAACAGCAAAGAAAGCAGAAACAAATGTGTTATTGTGCAATGATAATTTATTGCCAATATAAGATTAATTTTATATTGGACAAAAGTAATGCCAAAATATGTTATTAAACTGTGAGACTATTTAAAATAAAGAATTTTCAGCTACATTGGATTGGCATTCATCTCCTTTGGAAAGACTTAATTAGAATTAAGTAAAGACCATCTCTTATTTCTCTAAAGAATGTATGACTTTCTTCAGGGGTGTTGGTCTAAAATTCTCTTTTTTTGTTGTGTCTTGGCCACGCTTTGGTATGAGGATGATGCCAGCCTCATAAAACGAGTTAGGGAGGATTCCCTCTTTTTCTATTGATTGGAATAGTTTCAGAAGGAGTGGTACCAGCTCCTCCTTGTACCTCTGGTAGAATTCGGCTGTGAATCTGTCTGGTTCTGGACTTTTTTTGGTTGGTAAGCTATTAATTATTGCCTCAATTTCAGAGCCTGTTATTGGTCTATTCAGAGATTCAACTTCTTCCTGGTTTAGTCTTGGGAGGGTGTATGTGTCGAGGAATTTATCCATTTATTCTAGATTTTCTAGTTTATTTGCATAGAGGTGTTTATAGTATTCTGGGATGGTAGTTTGTATTTCTGTGGGATCGGTGGTAATCTCCCCTTTATCATTTTTTATTGCATCTATTTGATTCTCTCTTTTCTTCTTTCTTAGTCTTGCTAGCGGTCTATCAATTTTGCTGATCTTTTCAAAAAATCAGCTCCTGGATTCATTGATTTTGTGAATGGTTTTTTGTGTCTCTTTCTCCTTCAGTTCTGCTCTGATCTTACTTATTTCTTGCCTTCTGCTAGCTTTTGAATGTGTTTGCTCTTGCTTCTCTAGTTCTTTTAATTGTGATGTTAGGGTGTCAAATTTAGATCTTTCCTGCTTTCTCTTGTGGGCATAAATTTGCCTCTACACACAGCTTTAAATGTGTCCCAGAGATTCTGGTATGTTGTGTCTTTGTTCTTGTTGGTTTCAAAGAACATCTTTATTTCTGCCTTCATTTCGTTATGTACCCAGTAGTCATTCAGGAGCAGGTTGTTCAGTTTCCATGTAGTTGAGCGGTTTTGAGTTTCTTAATCCTGAGTTCTAGTTTGACTGCACTGTGGTCTGAGAGATAGTTTGTTATAATTTCTGTTCTTTTACATTTGCTGAGGAGTGCTTTTGACGCAAAAATCCTCAATAAAATACTGGCAAACCGAATCCAGCAGCACATCAAAAAGCTTATCCACCATGATCAAGTGGGCTTCATCCCTGGGATGCAAGGCTAGTTCAACATACACAAATCAATAAACGTAATCCAGCATATAATCAGAACCAAAGATGAAAACCACATGATTATCTCAATAGATGCAGAAAAGGCCTTTGACAAAATTCAACAGCCCTTCATGCTAAAAACTCTCAATAAATTAGGTATCGACGGCATGTATCTCAAAATAATAAGAGCTATTTATGACAAACCCACAGCCAATATCATACTGAATGGGCAAAAACTGGAAGCATTCCCTTTGAAAACTGGCACAAGACAGGGATGCCCTCTCTCACCACTCCTATTCAACGTAGTGTTGGAAGTTCTGGCTAGGGCAATCAGGCAGGAGAAAGAAATAAAGGGTATTCAATTAGGAAAAGAGGAAGTCAAATTGTCCCTGTTTGCAGATGACATGATTGTATATCTAGAAAACCCCATCGTGTCAGCCCCAAATCTCCTTAAGCTGATAAGCAACTTCAGCAAAGTCTCAGGATACAAAATCAATGTGCAAAAATCACAAGCATTCTTATACACCAATAACAGACAAACACAGAGCCAAATCATGAGTGAACTCCCATTCACAATTGCTTTGAAGAGAATAAAATACCTAGGAATCCAACTTACAAGGGACGTGAAGGACCTCTTCAAGGAGAACTACAAACCACTGCTCAATGAAATAAAAGAGGACACAAGCAAAAGGAAGAACATTCCATGCTCATGGATAGGAAGAATCAATATGAAAATGGCCATACTGCCCAAGGTAATTTATAGATTTATTGCCATCCCCATCAAGCTACCAATGACTTTCTTCACAGAATTGGAAAAAGCTACTATAAAGTTCATATGGAACTGAAAAAGAGCCTGCATTGCCAAATCAATCCTAAGCCAAAAGAACAAAGCTGGAGGCATCACGCTACCTGACTTCAAACTATACTACAAGGCTGTAGTAACCAAAACAGCATGGTACTGGTACCAAAACAGAGATACAGACCAATGGAACAGAACAGAGCCCTCAGAAATAATACCACACATCTACAACTATCTGATGTTTGACAAACCTGACAAAAACAAGCAATGGGGAAAGGATTCCCTATTTAACAAATGGTGCTGGGAAAACTGGCTAGCCATATGTAGAAAGCTGAAACTGGATCCCTTCCTTATACCTTATACAAAAATTAATTCAAGATGGATTAAAGACTTAAATGTTAGACCTAAAACCATAAAAAACCCTAGAATAAAACCTAGGCAATACCATTCAGGACATAGGCATGGGAAAGGATTTCATGTCTAAAACACCAAAAGCAATGGCAACAAAAGCCAAAATTGACAAGTGGGATCTAATTAAACTAAAGAACTTCTGCACAGCAAAAGAAACTACCATCAGAGTGAACAGGCAACCTACAGAATGGGAGAAAATTTTTGCAATCTACCCATCTGACAAACGGCTAATATCCAGAATCTACAATGAACTCAAACAGATATACAAGAAAAAAGCAAACATCCCCATCAACAAGTGGGCAAAGGATATGAACAGACATTTCTCAAAAGAAGACATTTATGCAGCCAACAGACACATGACAAAATGCTCATCATCACTGGACATCAGAGAAATGCAAATCAAAACCACAATGAGATACCATCTCACACCAGTTAGAATGGCGATCATTAAAAAGTCAGGAAGCAACAGGTGCTGGAGAGGATGTGGAGAAATAGGAACACTTTTACACTGTTGGTGGGAGTGTAAACTAGTTCAACCATTGTGGAAGACAGTGTGGCGATTCCTAAGAGATCTAGAACTGGAAATTCCATTTGACCCAGCCATCCCATTATTGGGTATATACCCAAAGGATTATAAATCATGCTGCTATAAAGACACATGCACACGTATGTTTATTGCGGCACTATTCACAATAGCAAAGACTTGGAACCAACCCAAATGTCCAACAATGATAGACTGGATTAAGAAAATGTGGCACATATACACCATGGAATACTATGCATCCGTAAAAAATGATGAGTTCATGTCCTTTATAGGGACATGGATGAAGCTGGAAACAATCATTCTCAGTAAACTATCGCAAGGACAAAAAACCAAACACCGCATGTTCTCACTCATAGGTGGGAATTGAACAATGAGAACACTTGGACACAGGAAGGGGAACATCACACACTGGGGCCTCTTGTGGGGTGGGGGGCTAGGGGAGGGATAGCATTAGGAGATATACCTAATGTAAATCCTAATGTAAATGACGAGTTAATGGGTGCAGCACACCAACATGGCACAAGTATACATATGTAACAAACCTGCACGTTGCACACATGTACCCTAGAACTTATAGTATAATAAAAATATATATAAAAAAAGAATGTATGACTTTCCTTAAATAATATCTG